>NC_000010.11:83021883-83173398 GCF_000001405.40 Homo sapiens | reverse complement strand
AGTCAATACAAAGATATAAATAAAAACAACAAAATGTTAAAAACAGAGGGAATGAAGTTAAAGCAAATTACTATGGGGTATTTTTGCTTGTTTGTTTATGCAAATAGTGCTATGTTGTTATCAGGTTAGAATAATGGGTTATAAGATAGTATTTGCAAGCCTCATGGTAACCTTAAACCAAAAAAAAAAAAATGCAACGATACACAAACAATATAAAGCAAGAAACTAAATTGTATTACTAGAGAAAATCATCTCCACTAGAGGAAGACAGGAATGAAAGAAAGAAGGAAAAGAAGACCACAGAACAACTAGAAACCAAATTTTTAAAATGGCAGAAGTAAGTCCTTACATATCAATGACATTGAATATAAATGGACTAAACTCTCCAATCAAAACACATAGACTGGCTGAATGAATAAAAAATAAGACCTTTTAATCTGCTGACTACAAGAAACACACTTCACCTATAAAGACCAACCTGAGTGTCCATCAACTAATGAATGGATTTAAAAAAATGTGGTATATATACACAATGGAGAACTATTCAGCAATAAAAGAAGAATGAGTTCCAGTCATTTGCAACAACGTGGATGGAACATGAGATTATTATATTAAGTAAAATAAGCCAGGCATAGAAAGACAAACATTGCATGTTCTCACTTATTTGTGGGATCTAAAAATTAAAACAATTCAACTCATGGCCATAGAGAGTAGAAGGATGGTTACCAGAGGCTGTGAAGGGTAGTTGCAGGGGTGCCAGCAGGTGTCGAGAGGTGGAGGTTGGGATGGTTAATGGGTACAAAAAATATAAAGAATTGATAAGATCTACTATTTGATAGCACAACAGGGTGACTATAGTCAATAATAATTTAACTATACATTTTAAAATAACTTAGAGTGTAATTGGATTGGTTGCAACTCAATGAGTACATTCTTGAGGGGATGAATACACCATTCTTTATGATGTGTTTATTCCACATTGCATGCCTGTATCAAAACATCTCATGTACCCTGTATATGTATACACCTACTATGAACCCACAAAAGTTAAAAATTACAACTAATAAAAGGGAAGAAAATTTTAATATACCTTACAGAAAGAACAAATCTGGAAGATTGACATTACCTTATTTCAAAATGAATTATAAATCCATAGTAATTGAGCAGGTGTGTTTTTTCTGTTTATAAATATACAGATGAATGGAACATAATACAGAAAATATTAGAAATAGGCCCATAAAATATGTTAAGTCATTTGCAGCATGGGTTCTAAGGTAATTTAATTTAGAAAGGATAGCCAACAAATGGTGCTGGAACAACTAAACATATATATGTAAAATGTAAACCTCAGCACAACATAACCTTTATCACAACATAAAAATTTAACTTAGATTGTACAAGGGGACTTCAAAAATTCATGGAAAAATTGAATTAAAAGATAAAATTAAAAACTTTCTTGACATAAGCACAATCAAATTTAAGACATTCTTTTTTACATTATTAACTGAAGAAAAAATGGGTACCCTTCAAAGATTATTTTTAAATTGGGAAACAAAAAGAAGTCAGAAGGAGCTAAATGGGGACTTAAGGTGGATTACTGATAATTTCATATCAAAACTCTCACATAATTGACCTTGCTTGGGGAGAAGAATAAACAGGAGCATTGTCATGATGTAAAATGACTCTGGTGAAGTTTTCTGGGGCATTGGCATTTTTCTCCTAAAACTTTGCCTAACTTTCTCAAAACATGCTCATAATAAGCAGATGTTATCATTCTTTTGTCCTCCAGAAAGTCAACAAGCAAAATACTTCGAGAATCGAAAAAAAAAAAAAAAAAAAAAAAAAGGTTACCATGATCTTTGCCCTTGATGAGTCTGCTTTTACTTTAACTCAACCACTTCCATCTCTTGGTAGCCATGGCTTTGACTGTGCTTTATCTTCAGGATTGTACTGATAACACCATGTATCATCTCCTGTTAACAATTCTTTAAAGAAATGCCTCAGGATCTTGATCTCACTTCTTTGCAATTTTCATGGAAAGCTCAGCTCTTGACTGTAGCTGATCTGGCACAACAGTTTTGGCACCCATCAAGTGGAAAGTTTGCCCAATTTTAATTTTTTAGTTAGAATTTTGTAAACTGAAACAATTGAGGTGTCTATGGTGCTGGCTATTGTTTTTGCTGTTAATCATTGTTCTTCAACTAGGGCCAAACAAGATAGATTTTTTCCTTGCAAATTGATGTCAATTGTCTGCTTCTGTGGGCTCCATCTTTAACCTTGTCTTGTCCCTTCTTAAAATAAGTTGTATATTTGTAAACTGCTAATTTCTCTGGGCATTGTCCCCATAAATTTTTCATAAAGCATCAATGAGTCACTATTCTTCCACCCAAACTTCACCATATATTTGGTATTTGTTTTTGTTTTAATTTTAGCAGAATTTATGTTGCTCTGATGGGGCTCTTTTAACTAATGTCTTAAACTTCTTAGTTCCTCAAACTAGATCCTGTTAAGACATGTTATAAAAAGTTAGTATGAGCTTATTTTGGTATGAAAAAAATTTAAAATTCATGCATAGATTTTTTCATAATAGTCATTTTCTATGAAATTTTGTAAGACCCCTCATTGATCTAAACGCAAAAGATAAAATTATGTAACTTTTAAAAGAAAAATTTTGTGCCCTTGGGCTTAGTAAGAATTTCTTAGCTTAGAACTCAAAAGGTGCAAATCATACAAGAGAAATTGATAAATTGTACTTTAAAATAATATAGAATGTTGGCCTGTTGAAAGACAGTGTTGAAAAAAAGTGTTAAGCCAAAAAGTGAGAGAAAATATTTGCAAACAGTTATCTGACAAAGGACTTTATCAGAAAGTATATAAAGAACTCTAACAATATAATAATAAGAAAACATACAATCTAATTTTAAAAATGGACAAAAGATTTCAACAGACGCCACTTTCACCAAAGGAGACAAATGGATAGCAAATAAGTACATGAAAAGACGTTCAACATCATTTGTTTTTAGAGAAATATAAATTAAAACCATGTGGATGTACATGCCAATAGAATGGCTCAACTTGAAAAAACTGACAATACCAAATGTTGACAAGGATGAGAAACAACTGGAACTCATATATAACTCTTGGAAATGCAAAATGGTACAGACACTTTGAAAATTGGCAGTTTCTTATGAAGAAAGGCATAGTACAAATCAATCTGAAGCCAAGAAAAATGAAAACATTTGACCACATAAAACCTCTACTGGAAAGTTTATAATAGCTTTATTCATAATAGCCCAAAATTAAAAACAGCTCAAATGTCCATCTACTGGCTAATGGACAAACAGATGGTGGTACACCAATGTAATAAAATATGGTTCAAAAAATCACAGACTATTAACACATGCATAAATATGGATAAATCCCAAAATAAAAAACTTTATACAAAGAGTACATATTATATAATTGCATGTAGATGACATTCTGGAAAAGACCAAACTATTGGAACAGACTTCAGAACAGTGGTTGCTATGAGCCAAGGGGCAGGGAAGTGAATTCATCACAAAATGGAGGAGAAGATTTTTTGGAGTGATAGAAATATTCTATATTTTTACTGTGGTAGTAGTCTTTATATGACTATATACGCTTGTCAACACTCATCAAATTAAATTCGAGCACAAATTTAAATTTTATTATATAAATTATAACATAATAAATCTGGCCAAGAAAAAAGAAAAGATGTGGTCATCCCTACTTGTAGATCAGATCTTTATTCCTTAAATTTTGAATATTTCAAAGAAAGGACTAATACATCTTATGAAAGTAGCAATCAGAACACAGCAAAATACAGTGGTTAAAAGCACACGTTCATCCTGCTTCTCTGCCTCCTGGAGCACAGGCAGCCTTTCTTCAAGGTTCTGAGGAAGCTTATGCTCCTAGAGCCAGTAATTCCACATCATTTGGCAGCGGAGGACTTACAAGGTCCTGGTGCCCATTTAGCTGTCTCATTAGTCAAATTTTGCACAGCTTCAAGGGTTGTAGGCAAGGTTTATTAAGGTCAAGAACACCTTCTGTTCAGCTTTTGATCCTATTGTTGGATAAAAGTTGCAAAAGGGGCCGGGCGTGGTGGCTCATGCCTGTAATCCCAGCACTTTGGGAGGCTGAAGCAGGCGGATCACCAGGTCAGGAGATCGAGACCATCCTGGCTAACACGGGGAAACCCGGTCTCTACTGAAAATACAAAAAATTAGCTGGGCACGGTGGTAGGCGCCTGTAGTCCCAGCTACTCGGGAGGCTGAGGCAGGAGAATGGCGTGAGCCCGGGAGGCGGAGCTTGCAGTGAGCCGAGATAGCCACTGCATTCCGGCCTGGGCAAAAGAGCCAGACTCCGTCTCAAAAAAAAAAAAAAAAAAAAAAAAGTTGCAAAAGATTCCTCCATCCCTGAATAGGGCAAACATTTCTATTCCCGCTACTCCACTGAGAACACTGAGAAAAATCATATTTCTGAATCTCAGTGACAAAAGTCCTGGAGAAGCTGGACTTGATTTAATATTTGTTAACTATTTAATATTTTTAATATTTAACATATTTAATATTTTTAATATTTAACAAATATTAAATCAAGTATGAAGCAGTGCTCAATGTACCTACTGACATTCCAGTTTGGTTCATCTTTTAACAAATATTAAATCAAAAATCAAAGATGATCTCCCAGGTTAGTGGGACCTCAACTTCTGCCTGCTATTTTTTCTATGCTAGGGGCCATGCCCACAGATGAATAATAATGTGGTAATTTGAAGTTTTAAAGTCAAATGGCACTTATAAGGCATCATATAGTTATGGAATTCTGAACATTTTTGATAAAAGAAAGAAAAAAGTTTAAAGTGAATGGGAATAAAATAAAATGTGATTGATTTGAGATGTGAAACCTTCTGAATGGTAAAGATTGTACACTACTGATGTATTGCAGTGATGGCAGTGGAGAGAAACTACAGGTTTCTTGGTCTTATGGAAGAGTTGGTGCCTAAAAAATTGGAGGGAAATCTCTTTGTGGTAAATTTTTAACTTGGGAAAATTACATACTGTAGTAACTCAGAGTTTGCGTTTTAGAGAATGGCAGACCTTGTTTGAAATCTTAATTCTGCCACTTTCCAGGTAAGTGACCTCAAACAAGTCATATAAGCTTTCCAAATCTCTATCAAATCATCTGAAAATGAGGAAGATGAACATTATCTAACAAGGTAAGCTGAAGAAAGCATAAGAAAATATATGCAAAGCACCTAACATGGTATTGGTTCATAGCAAAGCTTAAGAAATATAATTCAAATTGTTCTCATTATCATTATCATCATTAAATTTTACCTGCAAATCAGGAAGGATGCAGACACCCAGTTTTCAGACATACACCTGGTGGCACTGAATATTTTTGTTTTTTAGTGAGTATGCATAAGTATGTTTGTGGATGTTTGTGTTTCTAGGTAAATGCTCATCTACATCACCTAGGATCTACTAAATTAAAGATAAAAACTATTTCTAAGAACAAACAAACATTTGAATATTGAGATTACAGAAAATGAAATGCCTGGACTATAAATACTTTATTCATGGTATATTAAAATCAATATAAATGAGTATAAATGAGTTATTTGTCACACCAATAAATTAAAGAAACACAAAATACAAATATGAACTGTTAAAATAGCTACCAGCAATACTGAATCACAAGAAAATACATTTTCTCTTTATTTCTCACAGTCCTCCATATAGTCAAACTATTAACCCACAAACTGGTTTTCAAAAAAGAGATCACCATGCATTATCAGTAGAAATTAGAGAAAGTCTCTAAAGTGTCACACGCATCTGTGTGAAGAAACAACCAAACAGGCTTTGTGTGAGCAATAAAGCTTTTTAATCACCTGGGTGCAGGCGTGCTGAGTCCGAAAAAGGAGTCAAAAACAAAGGGAGATAAGGGTGGGGCAGTTTTATAGGATTTGGGTAGGTAGTGGAAAATTACAGTCAAAGGGGTTTTCCTCTTGTGGGCAGGGGCTGGGGTTACAAGGTGCTAGGTGGGGAGCTTCTGATACTCATTGTCCGGGAGAAGGAATGTCACAGGATCAGTTGATCAGTTAGGGTGGGGCAGGAACAAATCACAATGGTGGAATGTCATCAGTCGAGGCAGGAACTGGCTATTTTCACCTCTCCTGTCATTCCTCAGTTGCTCCAGGCCATCTGGATGCATATGTGCAGGCTTGGGCTCAGAGGCCTGACATAAAGGACCATTTTTTAATTTTAATTTTATTTTTTTTCCTTTCACAAAATTTAAATTGTGAGTATTTAAATTTGTGTTCCCATTTGAGATTATGCTTTGAAAATTATTGGGCTTCCATAATAGGTATAGGAGGAAACTTTTCAATTAAAAACTATATTGTAGAATGAAAACATAAGAGAAGCACCTAATTAGATGTCTCCCTAACCCACCACCATTAAACTCCACATATATTCAAAAGGAAATTTTTATATCATCACTAGATGTTTGATGTCAAAACATTAAACATTTTCTCCACATATAACAGAGAGCTATTAGAGGGGTAACTTTAACCAGGGTCTCATTTACACCTCCAACTTGCCAGGAATTAATAGAGAAGATTCTTGGAGAATCTTGGTACAGTTTTTAGTCTTGAGAGGCAAGAGTTAAAGGAGAGGGCAGATGGAAAGAAGGACACTTGAAATCCCCGACAGCACTGCTGTGCTGTCACTCAGGTGAGTAGCTCCTTTGGGGCAGCTCATGTGCGTGGTTGGAACTGCAACCTCAGTCACTGGAAGCAGTCCTAAGCTGGGCATTTCTCTCATGTTGTGGCAGCAGTCGACCAGAAGGGACGCCGTCATCCTAGTCAAACAAAAGAGTTAACTGCAGAAATCAGTAGGCTTAGAGGCTTTTGAACAAGAAAAACCACAGGGGAGGAGCTGCCCACATAGCCTGGCCCCTCAGTATACCATTTCTGGATCTCAGAATTATCCATGTAAATTTGCATCAACCTGCTGTTGAGCTTACTGCCTGATCGAAGTATACTATCAGAAACCAAGCAGTGCTGAGAAAAAAAGAAAGAGAAAAGGAAATGAATGCACCCAATTTGTGGGCAAACACCTAGCTGATCCGGATGGATGTCCCCTCACTACAGTAATCATGTAGACAAATACTGGCTTAATAAATATATATATATAAAATTAATATATATAATTATATATGTATGCATCTCTATATCTGTATCATATCTATATTTATGTGTATATTTTCATGTATATATTTATCTAACTATACCTATATACCTAATTATAAAAATCGTGAACCTTATTCAGTTTTGTGTGCTTAATGAGATTTCTGAAACTAAATTTTATTGGAAAAGGATATGAAACACAATTTTAAGATTACTAATAATTTATACATAGACAAACACATATCAGCATCAGACAAGATGCTCCTGGTTGGCATCCCAGTGATACATATCCTTCCAGAAGGCAAGCAGCCAGTTCATACAAAGTAAGTAGTGCCGTGTATGTTTATGTGTTTATGTGTGTGTGTGTATATACATATAGAGACCACAATTATTTATTGCCCAAATCAGTAATTTACAATTACCTGCAAATTGTATTAGCGTACCTTAACACTGTTTTCTTCTTGAATTGTTCCCTCTTGTAGTTCAGAATTTTTTTAGGGCAAGAAATGGTTTCACAGTACGGTCTCTTGCATTTAGAATTATTCTTGTAGAGATACAAGACAGCATTGCCGTTACAGCTGGCTTTAGTACATTGTTTAGTTTCTATTTGAAAAACAGTGAAGGGCAAGTGGCCAAACACGTTAGCCCCCTCTCTACTGCTGTGTCCACCACATATGGATTTTCCAAAAGCAAAATGTAAATATGATCAATCCTTTAAAGCAGGGCTGGCAAAACTTTTTCCTGTGAAGGGCCAGATAGTAAATGCTTTAGGCTCTGTATGCCATATGGTTTCTATCACAACTATCAATTCTGCCACTGTAGGGCAAACACTGCCACAGACAGCTTGAGTAAGCAAGAATAAGCATGAATTAGCATGACTGTGTGACAAAATCAGGCGGCAGTCCAGATTCATCTCTTGGGCTGTAATTTACCGACACTGAGTTAAGAGAATGTATAGTCCTCATGGTCCAAACTAATTTCAAAAGAGGACATAAGCATATCTGGTATATAATTTCCTGTGCTTTTCTTTATGTTGAATGCTTCAGGATTAAACAGAAGTAAACCAGTTTAATTCAAAGAAAACGAATAATACAGAAATCTATTGTGTCTCTCCACCTTGCCAGTCTAGTCAACAGAGCCCAAATTCTTTTACCCAAAAGCCTTTTGCTGTGTGACTCAAATCCACCTATCCAGCTATCTACACGCTTGCTTGGTCTCCTGACCTGGCCCAGTGTTTTTGAAGGTATATTCCATAGAAGGAATTCCTGAGAGACATTCAAAACAAAGGTGCCCTCTGGTTAAAAAAATCAATTAAAAGTGCAAGCTATAGGTCTCTCTTGGATGTGCATTTTATTTGTCATATTAAAGGCAGTGAGAAATTCTGCAGTAAGTAAACCTATTCAATCTATTACATGGCACTTTGTGTGTCATATAATAGATGCTCAAGAAATGCTATCTGATATTCTGGAAATAAAAGTGAAAAAAATGTAGACAAAGCAAAAAAAAATCAATGTGGAAATCAAGCTTGAAATATTCTCCCAAGAGTATAATAGGGGAGGAAATGAAAAGCGTCTGGTTAGTACCATTAGCCTCTTTCAAAGTAAATGTGTGTGAATCATCTTTAACTCTGTCATGCAATTTTCTTCTTCACACATTGCCCTCATTTTTATCTAAAGAGACTAGCACTTAAAGATAAGTTAATCAGGGGTTCAAGTGTCAAGTGTCAGAAGAATCTTTATGAAAAACACGGAGTTTTTACAACTTACAAGCAGTTTCCAAGATTTGAAACATGACTGGCCTAGCACCAGGATGAAACTCCCTCAGAGGCACGTACTATTCAGGCCATGGGTGAATGCTTCCAGACAGGTGAAAGTCCTCACAGTCCGCTTGTAAGTGGGAGCTAATGGGCTTAGGAAATCTGAAATTAGCTAAGCTGTAATTGTTCAGAACTTTATTATTCTTGTTTACCAGCCCTAGTTAAAAGTATATTGATTCAAATATTCTCTCCAGTTACCTCAGCCTCACTTTACTTTGTAATTCCTTTTTCTCACCCAACAATTTCACCTGTCACTTTTAAACTACTATGTGACAAATACATTCTCTTGGTTTTTTTTGTTTGTTTGTTTTGTTTTGTTTTTGAGAAAGAGTCTTGCTCTGTCACCCAGGCAGGAGTGCAGTGGCACAATCATAGCTCACTACAACCTCTGCCTCCAAAGCTCAAGCTTTGCCAAGTATCTGGGACTATAGGTGCACGCCACCACACCTGGCTAATTTTTTTATTTTTTGTAGAGACAAAGTTTGTCAGTGTTACCCAGGCTGGTCTCGAACTCCTGGGCTCAAGAGATTCTCCTACATCAGCCTCCCAAAGTGCCAGGAATACAGGCATGAGCCACTGTACCAGGCCGTTTTCTTATATTTTCAATCTCTTCATAGAATTTTTCCTCCAACCCCATGCTTTTGCAAAAGATCTTCCATGCCGTTGCTTTTCCTCTCCTGTCCTCTCAAGTAGATTATGTGCATATCACACACCAGAAATCACTCAGGGTAGAGAGGTGAGTTTGGTGTTATGCCATTTTCCTGGCCCTTTCTTTCTTCACACTACATTATATTCTCTATAGCTGAAGGTTCGTGCTAGATTACTAGAGCAGCTGTGGCCTCTCTCTACTGTGGCCATCTATTCACTTCCAGTTCACGTCTCTTGATCTTTTCTCCCTTTGTCCCTGCTCCTCTCAGAGGCTGGAGTAGGTTTACTTCCAGCTTGCTCTCACTGAATCATATAATTTTCCAAAACTAAATCAACATATGATTCTGGGTCTACTGATGTGTATTTTTTAGTAGAATGTGGCTCCTTGAGAGTAATTATTATCTTTTTAATGTCATTATTGTGCCCTAATATTTGGCACTATGCCCCCAAATTTTGCTCTATTAAATATTTGTTGAAGAACAGAGTGATTATAGGATGCTGCAGGACAGGAAGATCCCAGGCTTCCTCTCAAACACATCATTAGTGATGTTGATATTTTTCAGCATAATCTTCAGGTCTCCATTCTAATTGCCAGTAGCTGCTGTGTTTGCTGGGCTTTTGCTCATCTATATTTCTCAGAAAGCTCATTATAATCATTCTTTTTTTTCACTAATTCTCTGGCTCCTGGTTCAAGCTCTGTGCTTTATCTAAGGTGAATTATCAGTAATCAGAAGGTAGGATAAGGAAGAATATTTAGGTGGATAACTATCCATTTCCATTCAGCTTAGACAGGATATGGAACCAAGTAATCTAGAAATTTTTGCTGCCTCTCATTACTATGGAGAAACTTTCAAATTTGCTGCCTACTAATCCCACTTACTTGGAATCATATCATCACACTCCAACCTCAATACCTGGGCTCTGATACCTTCGGTACACTAGGTCACTTCACCTTGAATGTATGGGGTGTTTGAATTTCTGTTTTGGTGCTGGATGAATAATCGATGAATGGTCCCATATTAAGAACTTTGGTTCATAAAGACTGTTTGGTATCTTCCTCAACCTGCTACTGCTGGATAGTCCTCCTAAATCTACATAAGTTCTAGGATCACCCAGGCTACTTTCTAGAAACTTCAAACTCTAATGTCTAATGCTATTTTAATTTGCCCCTGCTCTAATCCCCACATCTGCCTCTTCAATGCTGAGTAATCTTTCTGTAAAGTTACCTAAAGTCCCTACCAAAGCTTACTGTTGATGAAGTCAGCCCACTGAAACATCATTTCTTCCTAAAGGACCAGAGATTTCAATCTATTTTCCTTTTACTTGAATCTTACCTTGATTCTAATGGCCCTGGATTTGGCTGAATTTCAATTAAAATTCTACAGTTGAAAATTCACTCATTTATAATTTTTCCTAAGCTGCTGTAAGTCAATGTAAATTAATCAAATTAAATCAATTCAAACACTCTTAAACTAAAGCTGTTCAAATAAAGAATAATTATAAAATGGCACAAAAAGCCTAAATTACCCTATAGTCCTATCTCCCCAAATGAAATATATGTACTGGGAGCACTTACCCTCTCTAAATATATGGCAATACATGTTTCAATTCCCTTGGCCCATCCTTGACCACACTGGGTCTATCCAGTCATTTTTCCTAGAGAACAATAAGGAAGAAAGTAATGTCTCAAGTTTTTCTTCAAATGAGAAGTTTTCACACACACACCCATTCTTACAGATTTGCTCAGCAAATTGTTTGCCACCCACCCATTCCTAATTTAATATTTGTCATCATTTGATTGAAATATTCTGTTTACAATGCCATCTGCATATGGTACTTTTTTGCTCTTTACACAGTGTTTGTTGTGCATAATGTTGAAGCATGTTTTTCTATCCATATCACATGAGAAACCAATGGATATACTGAGAAACCGTACTTGCTAATGAAATTGTCCCTTTGCACCCCCTGAGCTGCAGATCAGATTTTCCCCCAATCCCTTTATGAATCATTTTTCTCTAACTTATTACATTCAGGGGGACTCTCCTCTGGAATTCAATGAACTCAGTCACACATTCACACTCTGTGCCACCCCAGACATACCTGTTGTTCGATAAAATTCCCCCTGAAAAATTTGTTCACTTATTCCCGAACAGCACACACTTACATTCCAGAACTGGCTAGGACATAAATATGTACCACTTATATTCTTAAAGAGCACCACTTGTGAAATAAGGGCTTTAAATCATTGTCAAGAGGAAGAAGCTTCTATTTTAAAGCCAAACATTTAACTGCTTACTGTATATAAGCATTCTATGTAGCTTACGTGATGACAAAACCTTTTATAGTAGTGTGTAGAGGTTGGTATATTTAAAAATCTATTCAATAGAAATGTTTCTGGACAAGTCATAAGAGAGACAGAACTAAACAAAATAAAAAATCTGATAGGAAGACCTTGGACACATATGGAATGTGGTAAATCTTATACATTGCATCCCAACACAGGGGCAAAGTCAGTGTTTTATATATATAAAGCCACATTAATTTGAAATTAGGTCTGGTTTTGAATTGTAGCTCTAGCTAATTAATGATGTGACTTTGGGAAGATAATTTAACTGCTTTGACCTGTAAAAGAAGGAAAGATAAGTCTGCAAAAAGTGTGTAACAGAGTTGATTCAGCTACCAAAAAAAAAAAATTCTGTGAACAAATCTAGCCGAGTAGTTAGCACATATCAGATGATCAATCACCATGGGCTTTTCATAGGACATTAATTGCAAGAAGAAAATCCTTGAATATATTTCTTAGAAGGCATCCTTATTTGGGAGAGAGTCATTAAAATGGATAAAATAAGTATATGAGAAACATAAGCAGAGAAATATGAATTTATGAAAATGATGCCTATATATATATTTCTGAAGCCAGTGTAAACAGAGATAAATTTCCAGTTCTTCCTACAAAATAGTCATCAGCTCAGAAACTATGGGATAGTAGATACAGCAAAACGCATGGAACAAGGAAGCTTGACTATGTCCTAGATGTAATCTGAACCTCCATTTCCTTATCTGTAACATATCTAACTCACTGTTGTCTTGACTAGGAGTTAAAGGTACCGAATAATAGGTGATAATGGTTGCAAACCATCAAGTTCTGAACTATGCAAGTTATCACTTAGTCAATCCATCAACAAGCATTTAGCAAGTTCCTCTTTAGAATTTAATTTAATTCTAGGCTTAGTTCTGTTGAGGATTTAGGTGAAAATGCCACCAAGGTAAAGATTCTGTAATTTTAGCATATGTTTTCCATTGGGACATATGATTAGTCAAAAGTTATATAAAATGTAAAGCATTTATTAGTCTAGCTAGAACCGGGCCAAACAGCTGACACGTAAGAAGGGGAGTAGTCACTCAAGGCTGAAGTATGTCGATGTGTCCCCACCCCTGTCAGATGCTTCAATATGAACTGCTCATTGCAGGTTACAAATAAAATATTTTTTCATATCAATTTTTCAATGAAGAATTCACACTTTGCCACCTCAGTTTTGTGTCTAATCCACCCCTCATCCACACTGATCATAATTTTGTATAAACAGCTTCAACTCTTTCAAAATACTTTAACGTTTTTTCTTTTTCCAAATAAAATGAATGCTATTCAGAAGTTCCAGACTATCACTTCTATAAAGGGCTAGTGACATTTCTTTCCTATTACAGTCAGCTATTTGCTGTTGATTTGAGTGACAGCAAAAGAACATCAAGGAACGAGGTAATTTTGGTCACATTTGCCTCCTTTACAGATCCTAAAGCCAACTTTATAAACCTAAGCTAAACATTTGTTTCAATGCTTTGTAAAAGACCTTACACATCTTCTTCTAACGGCACCAGGCCCTTGAGAGAGTTTTTAATCATCTCCTTGAATTCCTACATAAAACTTGACAGCAACTTCTAAGGAAACCAAAAACACACAGACAATATTTAAAACAAAACTAGATACCAAGGTATCCCCATGCCCTGCAAAGCACACCAATAGCCACAAAATAGACATTATAGCCACTCTTTATGTGGCAAGACAAAGGAAGCAATGAGAGTGGCCTCTATTGGAACTGAGAACAGAAAAAAACTCCAAAGAACCAACAGATGTTCTCTGTGAAACTTAAAGGCAAACTGGAGAACAGCATCTGAAACTGGGAATAAGTTTTCCCTCCATAGAACCAGTGAGTGTGAGGGGCCCAAAGGAAGAAAAACTAAAGAATTGGAGCAGGCCATGCCCCAAGAACTCCCCACAGAGACTCTCCAGCCTTCCCTTTTAGGACGGCTCCCTCACTGAGCAGAGACTTTTGGGAGCTGAATCAAGAGAGCAGGAGAGGACAAGAGAAAGGAAAACATGAGGTCTACACAAAAGTGGGCAAAGGAAACACAACCAGGAAATTCCAAAAATTCAAGACACTGAAGAGGGAGTTCCGCAAAGTTAGAAAAGCTTTCCTGAAACTTGTCTCATTCTAAAAAGTTAAATCAGAGAAGTTAATTTCACAGAAAAACACAAAAGTCTCACATTATAGACAGAAGTTTATTTCTCTCTCTTGTAAAAGAACAAAGATAACAACAACAGAAAACACACTTATATTTGGAGCAACAAAGAAGTGTCAAGGTTAAATCTGAATCAAAGTTATTACAAGAAAAAAACGTGAGAACCAGGAGCTGGAGAAGTGCCCTATAGACGATGAGTGCAAGATGAGCCCACCAAACAAACCAAAAATGTAACCTACTATTTCAAAATGAGCTAAAAGACATTGAGAAGATATAAGACATGAAATAAAAATATGAATCAAAATGAATGAAACTCAGAAATAAGATCACCAAATGCTGGAAAGTATAATAAATAAATATCAGAAATTAAGACTAAACCTGAAAGAATAAAACACAATTTTTTTAAAAAAGATTATGTCTTAAGAAATGGAAGATGAAAAAGCAAAAAAAAAATGCATTAAAAATATGAAGAGATAAAAAGGAATTGAGACAGTGACGGATATTGACAGTAAGCAAAAGAGGCTGCCATAGGAATGGTATGAGTCTCTGAACACAAAGTCAAAGCAAGGGAAAAGTAACCTTGGCTTAAATTTTTAAAAAACAAAAAGGAAAGAAATAGAGAAAAAATCATCTAAAATCGCACATTAAAAAACTAGCACATACTTGAGACACCTGAGGATATCCACCTAGAAATACCCAATATCAAGGCATATTTTAATAAGATTACTGGATTTTTAAAAAATTTCATTTGGACATATAGGAAACAAAGCTTCTGAAATAGAAATGAAGTAAAATTAGATATACAATAAAATTTTCAACAACATTTTATACCAGAAGAAAATAAAGGGACTTATTTAAGATATGTAAAATTATAAATATGACTTTTAATTTACAAAGAGAACAAACTGGCAGCATTATGCAAAAACTCTGAGAACATTGTTGCTATGAGTCCTTCCTCAAGAATCTTCTGGAAAATGAACTTCAAATGACCATATTGACTAAAGAGGTATCATCTCAAAAAAAAAAAAATGGTGGTAAGCATTAGATATAGTTTCTCATAAAATTAAGAACAAAACCAAATACCTTAAGAGGGCACATTTCTAATATATAAATATTAAAAATCACTCTCACCTCTATTCCCCACCTGATACTCTCAAAATCTTAATCTTTTGAAAAACTTCCATTCACCTCCTGTTCCTCCACATCCACATCACCAGTGTCTTCCTATAGAGATGTCAACCTTTGTAGTCACCTGTCACAGCTCCCCAGGCTTCAGGATGTAAAAAGAAATCTAACTAAACAAAACAAAATAAAAAACAAACAAAGCTACAGCTGGCTGAAACTGCAATCAAAATTCCTTTACTCAAGGTCTTCCCATTACAAAGGGAGTATGAGATCAGATTCATTTAGCCTCTTGCTTCCTGGATCATACTCAAGCAATCCATTGGCATGGTTTTCTATGGCAGCTGTTCTTCAAAAATGAAAACCATCAATTTTGCCATCTTAGCATTTACCTAGGCCTTTCAGGTAATAGCACAGCTCAGATACAAATACTCACAGACTGGTGAGTTTTCTGCTCTCAACTTTTTAGTATTAAGGAAGACTAGTAAGTAAAACTCCATAATTCAGAGGTTAAAATTTATCAACAGTGCTAGTTATGGCAACCTAGAGATAAAATAGAAAAATATGTGAAGTGAAGGCTGGGATTAGTGGCTCACACTTGCAATCCCAGCATTTTGGGAGGCTGAGGTGGGAGGATTCCTTGAACCCAGGAGTTGGAGACCAGCCTGGACAAAATAGAGGCACTCTGTGTACAGACCCTTTCTCTACAAAAAATTTTAAAAAATAAGTTGGGCGTGGTGGCATGTGCCTGTAGTCACAGCTACTCCAGAGGCTGAGGTGGGAGGATCACCCGTCTAGGGTGATCAAGCCCAGGAAGTCAAGGCTACAGTCAGCCATGATCTCCCCACTGCACTCAAGTCTGGGTGACAGAGCAAGACCTTGTCTCTAAAAATAAAATAAAATAAAGTAAAGTAAAATAGGACTAAAAATATCACCAGCTCAGAGTTGGCTTCAGTGTTAATTAAGTTAATATCTATTAGTGCTGGAGCAGCATATGTCTTGTAATAAGCCAAACGGTGTGTTTTCTATCACTGTTGTCTGTAGTTTATATGAGAGAAATAAACTTCTGTCTCACTTACTGTGATATGAGGCTTTTCTCTTATATTCAAATAAATTTAAACTTAAAAGTTGCCTGATTGCTTCAAGTCTCAGCTCTAACATTATCTTCTGTGTGAAATGCTTCAACAGAGTGAATTAAACTTCTACTCCAGAAAGTCTCAAGAGTATATTGAAATATCTCCATGAGGGGCTTTAGCATAAGTAGACTTTTTGCTTCTTTGTTTCCTTGCTTTTATTTAGTTTGTTTTATTTGACCCTTGCTCCATGTACATCATCATTCCTTTGTTACAAATTATCAGCTTATTTTTTATAATCCTGCATTAATCACAGTGCTTGCTTTATCACAGATATTTGATAAATGTTGATTAAATGAATGAATGAGTGAGTCCATGAACGTATAAATGAAGATATCTCTAATCATCAAAGGCAAAATATCATTTGAGATACATTTAGGAGCATTTTTTTCTTTCTTTGCCTGTTTTATTTCTTTTTCACCTTATGCTTGGAGGGGAGATTCATTGTTGAGTAAGCAGCTCACGCACTGAGATGTATCTGTGGCACGCAAAGCTCACCAGGGGCAGAGGATGGCTCCACACAGAGCAAGTCCAGGATGGCTCATTGCTTCCTGGGGAGATGGAATGGTGTTGGCTGTTGCCTTCTGGAGGCTCATACAATGACAACCACTGAGAATGAATTTCTGAAAACTCATCATAGCTCGCTGCATCCTCAAACTGCTGGACTCAAGTGATCCTCCCGCCTCAGCTTCCCAAAGTGCTGGGATTAACAGCATGAGCCACCGTGCCTGGTCATAGTCCCATTTTAAAGATGAAGAAATTGCCAGCACAGAAAGTTAAGTAACTTGCCAATGGTCACACAATAAATAGTGGATGTGGAACATGAACCCTTCCAGTCTGGTTCCAGAGTTTGGAGTCGGACCTCCCACTTCCTGGGCAAAATGTGGTTTTGAGAGAATGAAAGAGACAAAGGCGTGACATTTTTATTGAAGTCTCATAAACTCTGCTGCAACATGTGGACATACTCAGAAATGTGTAATTGAGATCACTGATCACAGAAAGTAAAGACCACATTTTCTGAGGGTGTGGAACACAATAAGACAGAGGTGGTGGCTTGTGTTGGTCTAAATGGCTCCTCATATGATGGTATGAAAGGGAAAACAAAATACTTCAGCAAAAAGAATGCAGTGACCCTGTTGTGAAATGTGTACTCTGCCACTAGTGGTGATTACATAGAAAATAAAGAGATTTGAAGTTCTATGAAATTGTAAGATTTGGCAGAAATTTTAGGAGTTTCAATACAAAAATTAGCAAGTTTATTGAAAGGAGGGAGGGAACAAGGGGACAGGGAATTCTCTCCTTCCAAATTCCCACAGTTCAGAAAACAATTGAAGTAGCTTTAGAGGAACTTGCAGGTGCAAATCTGGAAGTTTAACAAGAAGAACAAAGCTACCCCAATAGGAGGTAGTTCAAAATTGGCATTCAATTTACAGAGAAGAGTCCTGAGTAACAGTCATGCACATCATAAAGACTGTAAATGAAAGAAAGGAAGGGGAAAGAGGAAACAGGAGAAACAAAGGGGGAGATTTTTATTTTCTATCTTCTCAAATGAGACCCCAGCAAACTAAATTCCCTTAAATGTGCACTCTTAAACATGAAAGCCACTGAACATCCACACAGAGAAGTACAGATTTGCTCAGCAAATTGTTTGCCACCCACCCATCCCTAATTTAATTTTCTTTCTAGTGTTGATCTTATTAGCTCATTGAAAGTGCACATGAGAACATGACACTTTTTCATTAAATGGAGTTTCATAGCACTTAATAAAAATAACTTCTGGTAGAAAATAAAATGGCAAACTCTATATTTATGTGCTAAATGTCACTTAAATAAATCAAAAAGAGTACATGCATACTCAAAGATGATGTTTTTGCACAATTCAAGGCTCATCATTTTATTTTCTACATTTTATATTTTCTTCTGCAAAACCTAAGTAAATCTAAGCAAGTTTTCTTTAGTGGAAGACATAGCTGACCTTCAACAGCTAAGGCAGCAGTGAGAAGAGACAGAAAAATCTTACATACTAGTTCATGCTAGGAAGGTTTAAATGCAGATTACCGTGGTGTACATAGTTCTTTAAGGCTAAATCCCTTGAGATGGGCAAAGATTGCATACCTGCTATTTTCTTAACCTTTTACTTGTGGAAGCTTTTGAGAACTGAGGGTGGAGTGCTTGGTGGGCAGCAATTCAAAGCACTGAGATAAAGATGTAAAGAAGGGAGATTTCCATTAGTGGTCTGGAAAGGGACCTGTCAGCCTACTTGGTTCAAATTATTTTTTAGGTGAGAAAACTAGGCCTAGAGAAATTAACATACAGAGGCTTACATGGTAAATGGCAAGTTCCTCTGATTGTTTTATGGTGGTGTAGATGCATATTTATTAACACAGAAATAATTCCAACAAGAGATTAAGGGGTATGTTCATGATAATTCTGGAAAGAGATACATCAAAATGTTTTCCTGAGCCCCGTTGTAGTTTTTAGGTAAATATTTTATCATTTATTGTTCGATTTTGTTTGCTGTTATTTTCTGAGGGTTAGAAACAAATATGCATTACTTAAGTAATGAAAGAAGAAAAAACACATTTGGATATGGTATTCTTCATCACTTATGAAATTAGTGAAGTTGGAAATAAGTTTAGACTGGCCAACCTGATGAGGCTTCAGTATAAAATATTTGAGAAGCAATTTGTACAATGGGCATTTCATAAGGCTTTTGCTTAGAGCTGGAATGTTCCACAGGGAGAAGACGAGGTATTAGTGCTTTGTACTAAAAGCATGGTCCCTGGAGCAGATGCGGGGCATTTACCTAAGAGTTTGACTAGAAATGCAGAAGATCTGAAGTCAGCCCTACTCAATCAGAAACTTCATTTTAGCAAATTAGAGAGATAATTCCTAAGCACAGTACAGCTTCAGAATCATTATTCTAGACTACAGTATAAACCTTTGAAACAGGAGGAGTTCCCTTATCCCCCTCACAGGGCGTGCCACAGGGGAGTGGCTCACTTCTTTGTAGCATGCAGATGGGCAGGTCGTGGGGAGCGTCTTTGGGCTCCGACTCCACGGCAGCGTCTGGGATTGAGTGTTTACAGCTCCCAAAGCCGCAGTGGGCATGTGTTTCAGTGTGCTCTTTCAGCTTTGCTATCTGCAGGCGGCTTGTGTTAATCAGCTCAATTAGACCCTCTGCTTTATCGCAAGGACAGAGGGCTTTCTGTATCCCAGGGTTCTTGCCCTAGCGTACCAGAAAAATTGGATCACACGTGGGCTTGGAGGATGGGTGCAAGGTTTTATTGAGTGGTGGAAGCAGCTCTCAGTGAGATGGGTGGGGAGGCCAGAAAGGGAATGGAATGGGAAGATGGTCTTCCCCTGGAGTTGGGCCGCCCAGCCGCCAGACTCTCCTCTGACTGCCCCCGACAGAATTCCACATCCTCCCGCTGCCAATGGCCTGCAGGTGTCTGCTGGTGTCTGTGATTTTCTGCTCCTCTGGTCCTCTCGACGTCCGGCTGCTTGTGTGTGTTCCTGCTAGGGTCTCTCGGGTTTACATGGGCACAGGATGGGGGCATGGTGAGCCAGAGTGGTCTTGGAAAATGCAACATTTGGGGATGAAAACCGGAGTGCCCGTTCTCACTTAGGTTCATGGGCACAGGCCTGAGGGTGGAGCCTTGGCCAGGGACCCCGCCCTTCTCTACCCAGCACTTCCCTGCCCCCCTCCCATATCATTTTCACTGCATCTAATCACTGATTGAGTTTGGGGAGGAGGCATACAGAGCAGAGGCATAGAAAAAAACTGTGTGATACAGAACTGGGAAAGAATAAATGCAGTCATAGGTGATATGGGGTTAGATTTCCAACCTAGCTCAATCTATATGACTTCTTTAACAGTTTCTTTATTTGTAAAAGGGACTAACAACTTCCTCATTTTATGAATTTTTTGAGCATTAAATGAAGTAATGTATACTAAACATACAGCAATATACATAACATGTGAAAGATAAGGTTTCATTCAAGCCATTTTCATTTTTCTTACTGTAAAAGTTTAGGGTCACGTTTGGTGGTTTTATAGTCCTGCTGCAAGTAGAGGATATTAAAATACAACTAAGAAGACATATTATGTGGCTTCAGGCTGCAGCTCCAAATTTATTAAGTGTCTGTAATAGTCTGATACAAAGTCTTGTAGAACTCAGACCTTGACAAGAAGGGCTTGGACACTTTCCCTTCCTAAAAAAAGGACGTAATGATGAGGTTTAATTGCAATACAATTAGAGCTTTTGATAGCAAATTAATTTTCATTGATAGCGTTGGTCTTGGCAGAGAGTGTAGAATTTATGAAATTAAAGCCCCATGAGCATATGTACAGTCGCTTATAGCTTTTTATGCAAATTGAAATTCGTGCTTCATTTTCCATTTCTGGAACCAAAGATTAAGGATAATAAAGCTTTTTAACTTAGCTAAATTAGTTAAAGGCATTTTATTGTATCAAACCATATTTTATCGAAGGCCACGCTTGACAAATTCTCTCCACTTTACATAATTACTCACAATAAATTTATAAAATTTGTTTGTGTAGAAAGATAATCTGGAGGTATGGTTCTCTTACAGTTTTAATAAATTATTGTGCCTATATCTTACCTGGTACCATTAATGTATTTACTAATCCCATGTGGTTTAACTAGCATGAATACTGAAACAAAATCTTATTTTTAATGGTTAATAGAAATATTTTGTATTTATGCCAACAAAAGCAAGTCTTTTGGACTATAACACTTGTTGCAGAAAAAAAAGAAGCAATGCATTTTTGAGCCAATAGAATCAGTGCATGTCCAAAATTCAGATCACGTAATTAAGATATTAATATTGTCAGAATAAATATGATTATACATAAAGTCAATATTAAAACGATAAATATGGACAGCAATAATTCAGTATAATATTGAGATGTAAATTCCTCTCCAGTAGAGTAGATATTTGTACTGAGGTTCCCAGTGGGACACTATTTGATAACAAGTATGAAGACTTTGAGATTTTTTTCTTCTTATAGAATGATAAAATTTTATTTTTTCATTTGATTTCATCTTTCTCATCTGTTTTTCTCTTCTATATTTAAATACCTAACACAGTCCACACAGCTCAAAATCCAAAATATGCAAATGTATACAGTGAATGATTTTGTTCCTACCCTGGTAACACACTAACAAAGTTCTTCTTAAAAGCGTGATAAAAATAGTATTTGTGGAACTTTTTAAGTGTGATGCAGTTCTAAGCATTTCAAATCAATTAACTCAGTTAATCCTCCATACAACCCTTTAGGTAGCAACTGTAATCTCCCCATTTTACAGAAGAGGAAACTGAGGATCTGTTGGGTTAAGTAATTTACTCCTGTCATTACAACTATTAGTGACAGAGTTGAGATTGGAACTCAGGAAATCACAGAGCAATGTCTATGCTCGTGACTACTTAGCTCCTAACTATTAACAGTTTCTTACCTTTCCTTTCAAACCAATATATGTAAAAGTTAAAAGGGGTACACTTTTATAAACATTATCATTTCCATGTAACTACATATCTTAAGGTATTCAAAGGCATTGTAAAAAGTGCTTCTTCTTTTATGATTCAAGTATTCGTTTAAATACTGTTATTTTATTTTATTTATTGTTACTGTTAGAGGACTACTGACTCAACCAGTCCTCTTTGCATAAAAATGAATGTGTCTTTGGCCTTTTCCTATTAAAAATGATGCTGCAATGACTATCTCTATACATGTGCCATTTTGCACACATGCGAGCCTAATGGGAGGATAAAATTCCATTTGTAGAAAGGCTAAGTCAAGTGGTTTTAAGTTCCAATTTAAGGCTTATATATTAATGGACCTCATAGAAATTTTACCAATTTTTACCCTCCACCAACAATGTATTAAGGTTTCTGTTTTCTCATACACTAACCAGAATTGTTATATAAAACTATTGGTTTCTTGCTGGGATTATAAGTGAAAAAATATATTTTCTAGTATTTTTAACTTTTAAACTGTAACTTTTCATTTGGAAAATATTTAAGATGTAAAAAGTGTTGCAAAAAATTACTAGAAATTCTGGTATTCCCATCACCAATATTCCTCAAATATTAATATTTGTATAAACACAGGATATTTAACAAAATCAGAAAATTAACATTAATAAAAGACTATAACTTACATACCTTACCAAAATTTTACAAATTACTCTACAAATATCCTTTACTGATCTAGGATTAAATTCAGGTTCATACATTCTACTTAGTTGACCTGATACCTTGGGGGGGGGGTTTAGTTTAACTTTTATTTTTATTTATCTTTTATTTCAGGAGTGCATGTACAGATTTGTTACATAAGTAAACTTCTGTCATGAGGGTTTGCTGTACAGATTATTTCATCACCCAGGTGTTAAGTCTAGTTCCCACTAGTTATTTTTGCTGATCCTCTCCCTCCTCCATACTGCACCTTCTAATAGTCCACATTATATGTTGTTCCCATCCATGTGTCCATGTGTTCTCACCATTTAGCTCCCACATAAGTGAGAACATGAGGTATTTGGTTTTCTGTTTCTGTGTTAGTTTGCTAAGGATAATGGACTGCAGCTCCATCTGTGTTCTTGCAAAGTACATAATCTCATTCTTTTTATGGTTGCATAGTATTCCATGGTGTATATTTACATTGTTTTAAATCCAATCCACCATTGGTGGGCATGTATGTTGATCCATATCTTTGCTATCGTGAATAGTGCTGCAATGAACATACATGTGCATGTGTCTTTGTAATAGAACTATGTATATTCCTTTGGGTATGTGTTTAGTAATGGGATTGCTAATTAGAATGGTTTTTCTGTTTTTAGGTTTTTGAAGAATTGCCACATGGTTTTTCACAATGGTTGAACTAATTTGCACTCCCACCAACAGTGTATAAGTATTCCTTTTTCTCTACAACCTCACCAGCATCTGTTATTTATTGACTTTTTAGTAATAGCCATTCTTACTGGTGTGAGATCATATCTCACTGTGATTTTGATTTGCATTTCTCTAATGATCAGGATGCTGAGCTTTTTTTTTTATTTTTATTTTTTTGAGACAGAATTTCACTCTGTTGTCCAGGCTGAAGTACAGTGGTGCAATCTTGGCTCACTGCAACTTCTGGGTTCAGGTGATTCTCCTCCCTCAGCCTCCTGAGTAGCTAGGATTACAGGCACCTGCCACTGTGCCTGGCTAATTTTTGTGTTTTAGTGAAGACGGGGTTTCACCATGTTGACCAGGCTGGTCTCGAACTCCTGACCTCAAGTAATCCGCCTGCCTTGCCTCCCAAAGTGCTAGGATTACAGATGTGAGCCACTGTGCACAGCCTTGAGCTTCTTTTAAATATGATTGATGGCCCCACATGTATGTCTTCTTTTTCTGTTCATGTCCTTTGCCCACTTTTTAATGGGGTTCTTTGTTTGTTTCTTGTAAATTTAAGTTCCTTATAGAGGCTTGGTATTAGACCTTTATCAAATGCACAGTTTGCAAAAATTTTCTTCCATTCTGTAGGTTGTCTGTTCACTCTGTTGATAGTTTACTTTGCTGTGTAGAAGCTCTTTAGATTAATTAGATCCCATTTGTCAATTTTTGCTTTTGTTGCAATTGCTTTTGGTGTCTTCGTCATGAAACCTTTGCCTGTTCCCATGTTCAGAATGGTATTGCTTAGGTTGTCTTCCAGAGTTTTTAGAGTTTGGGGTTTTACATTTAAGTATTTAATTCATCTTGAGTTAATTTTTGTATATGGTGTAAGAAAGAAGTCCAGCTTCAAACTTCTGCACATGGTTAGCCAGTTATCCCAGCACTATTTATTGAATAGGGAATCCTTTCTCCATTGCTTGTTTTAGTTGGGTTTGTTGAAGATCAGATAGGTGTAGATGTGTGGTCTTATTCCTGTGTTCTCTATTCTGTTCCATTGGTCTGTGTGTGTGTTCTTGGAGCAGTACCATGATGTTTTGGTTACTGTAGCCCTGTAGTATAGTTTAAAATCAAGAAGTGTGATGCCTCCAGCTTTCTTCTTTTTGCTAAGGATTGCCTTGTCTATTTGCACTCTTTTTTGGTTCCACATGAATTTTTAAATAGTTTTTTCTAATTCTGTGAAGAATGTAGATGGTAGTTTAATAGAAATAGCGTTGAATCTATCAATTGCTTTGGGCAGTATATCCATTTTAACAATATGGACTCTTCATATCCATGAGATTGGAATGCTTTTCCATGTGTTAGTGTCATCTCTGATTTCTTTGAGCAGTATTTTGTAGTTCTCCTTGTAAAGATCTTTTAACTTCCCTGGTTAGCTATATTCCTAGGTATTTTGTACTTTTTGTGGCATTTGTGAATGGGATTGCACTCCTGATTTGGCTCTCAGTTTGACTGTTGTTGGTATATATAAATGTTAGTGATTTTTGCACATTGATTTTGTATCCTGGGACTTTGCTGAAGTTGCATATCAGCTTAAGGAGTTTTGGGGCTGAGACTATGGGGTTTTCTAGATATAGGAATATGTCATCCACAAACAGGGATAGTTTGACTTCCTCTCTTCCTATTTGGATGCCCTTTACTTCCTTCTCTTGCTTGATTGCATTGGCCAGGACAATAGGAGTGGTAAGAGAGGGCATCCTTATCCTGTGCCAGTTTTCAAGGGAATGCTTCCATCTTTTCCCTCCACCTCTTTTATTGCTTTGACATTTTTAGAAAGGACTGGCCAGGTATTTTCTAAAATATTTTGGCTTTCCTAATATTTTTCATGACTAAATTTCATGGTAAGAATACCACAGAAGTAATGATGTGTTCTTCAGAGTATCACAGGCATATGATGTGGATTTGTTCCATTTCTGATGATGTCAAATTTAATTACTGGCTTCATCTGGTACATGACAGGTTTTTCAACTGTATTGTAGTTTTTCCTTTGTAATTGTTGAGTCTCTTCTGAAACATACTTCCAGGCTATGCAAATATTTTTCATCATCTATTCACCCACCAATTTTAGTATGTATCAGTGAAGATAAGTGGTGATTTTCTATTTCCATCATTCCTTCGACCTTCGACATTGATTGGATAGAGTTATCTTCTAAGGAAGAGTTTCTCCTCCTATCCTATTTACTTATTTATTGCTAACTGATTGATTGACTCATTCATTTATATGGCTTATTCATATTTATATTATTTATTTTGTTGTTCAAATAGTTTCACATTTGACATCTGGGGGCTTCCTCCCAATAGTCTTTGTGGCCTTTTAACAAAGCCACGTGGTTTTGAATATTTATTTTGCTTATCTTGTATTATCAGTGTGATTAAGCCACTTAAATTTACTTTTAGTGAAACTTTTTAATTTTTGCCCATTTGCCACTTAGTTGTTTGTTTTAGTTTATTTTTTAGTTGTTCATTGACTAGTGGATGCTTTTGTAATAATAAGGCAATGAATTCTTTGCAATATGATTTGTAAAATGTTTTGCAGTTGATCATTTACATTTTGATTTCAATTTTTTTGTGTGCTTATAAATGTTTTCAATGTAATAAAATTTGTCACAACTGTAATTTTTCTTGATTTTGTTTCATAATTGCACAGGCCTTCTCACTTTTATATTTTAAAGCATTTTTACTATACAGTATTTTTCTTTTAAGTATCCTTAAAGATGACTTTTTGTATTCACATCTTTGATCCATTTGAAGTTTAAGCTAGTGTAAGATGTAAGGTATGCATAATTTTGTTTTCTTTAGATGACTACTTTGTAGTCAAAAAGGCAACATTTACTGTATAATTTCTCATTTCACTATTTATTTGAAACTCTATTGTTCTCTAATAATAACATTTGCATGTACTTTGTTGTATCTCTCCCATTTATTTGTGTCTATTTATGACTTTATACGTTTTTATTTTGTCTAGTGTTTTGATGCATTTAATATGCTGATAGGCTCCTTCCCTTTACTTATTATTTTTTCAGATTTATTCTCATTTTTTTAAATTTAGTTTTCCCTATGAAATGTAGCTTACATTTATTCAGTTAATAAAAATCAAGTATTACTAATTGGGTCACATTAAGTTAGAGAGAATTGACATTTGGGCTGGGTGCGGTGGCTCACACCTGTAATCCCAGCACTTTGGGAGGCTGAGGTGGGCGGATCACCTGAGGTCAGGAGTTCAAGACCAGCCTGGCCAACATGGTGAAACCCTGTCTCTACTAAAAATACAAAAATTAGCCGGGCACGGTGGTGCGTGCCTGTAATCTCAGCTACCCAGGTGGCTGAGGCAGGAGAATCCCTTGAACCCAGGGGGCAGAGGTTGCAGTGAGCTGAGATCATATCACTTCACTCCAGCCTGGGAAAAAGAGCAAGACTCTGTCTCGAAAATAGACAAACAGAATAGACATTTGGACAAATATGAGTTTTTCTATTTCAGATCACAGCATTACCTTCCATTTGTTCAAGTCTCTGAAGTACTTCAAGAATGTTTAAAATCATCTTCACATACAGATAGTTGTGTTATGTTAAGTTTATTAAGAGGTATTTTATCACATTATTTTAACACTGAATCTTTTAGAGGCTGTTTATCACTTTTTAGATTATTTCAAATGGGATATTTTCCCATTATGTAAATGCTGTTGTTGTTTACAAATAGGAAAACT
Source organism: Homo sapiens (assembly GCF_000001405.40). Lineage (NCBI taxonomy): Eukaryota > Metazoa > Chordata > Mammalia > Primates > Hominidae > Homo > Homo sapiens. The sequence continues at coordinate 83,146,296 of NC_000010.11, read as the reverse complement.
ATCGATTTCTGTATACAATTTTTTTGTCTAGAAACCTGTCTGACTTTCCTTATTGTAACTGATTTTATCAGTTGAATCTGATTTCCAAGTATACATGGACATCAGCAGCAAATAGTGAAAATGAGTATTCTCTTTCTTATTTTTATGACTAATTTCTTTCACACGATTAACTACAGTGAAATGAGAAAATATCCGAATTTTGTCATTTAGAGGTAGGGATAACATTCTCAAAACTCAATTTTTCCCAGAGTAAGTAGTCTACAAATATTCTGTTTGTGTTTATGTCAATTTAATATAATGAAACTTAGAAAACTTTCTTTTTCCCCCTACTCTGGGCTTTCAACTGTTTTTGCAGAGTCCAACAACGTAGTCTCTCAAAATCTTTTAATTTCCTCCAACAATGGTGATTTATCCTTCATTATGTATTACTTTTTGTATTTGTGCTTTCTACTTCTGCTTTATCTAGTTTGTAGGTTTGCTTGAACATTCAGTGTTTGGTTTATTTATTACTTCAGCCATTTTTCTTATTTCTAATTGATTACATTGTGTTTTTATCTTTATTAAATCCATCCTTCTGCTTTCCCATGCCATTTGTTGTTTTCCTTTTATTCCATCTTCAATTAAAGCTCCAAGGGTTTACCTCATAGCTTCTGATCCAAATGGCTTTCAATCATTGATATTTTTAGGGAGAGTACAATTTGGGCTTAGATTTTTTTAAATTATCTTAGAAGATTTTTTTGTTTTTGTTTTTGTTTGTTGTTGTTGTTTTTTTGTAATTTCCAGGTGTTAGGGACTCTTTAATATTTTATTTTGTTATTATGTTCTTGTCCCAGTTCAGTGTTATCAGAGAATACTATCTCTACTACTTCTACTTTGGGATACACCGAGGCTTTATTTGAAGCTTAGTATTTGGTCACATTTATGAATACTCCATACTTACTTTTTTTTTTTTTTTTTTTTGAGATGGAGTCTCGCTTTGTCACCCAGGCTGGAATGCAGTGGCATGATCTTGGCTCACTGCAACCTCCGCCTCCCAGGTTCAAGCGATTCTCCTGCCTCAGCCTTCAGTAGCTGGGATTACAGGTGCTCGCCACCATGCCTGGCTAATTTCTTTTGTATTTTTAGTAGAGACGGGGTTTCACCATGTTGGCCAGGCTGGTCTTGAACTCCTGACTTAAGGTGATCCACCTGCCTCGGCTTCCCAAAGTGCTGGGTTTACAGGCATGAGCCACCGCACCTGGCCAATACACACCTCTTTAAAAAGGTATATTCATGGTTGAGGAACAACATTTAAGTGTTTATATTAGTTTAAGATCTTAAAGGAAACTTCGACTTATTTTGTTAAATTCCCAAAACACACTTATCCTAATTTTTTGGAGCAATTACACTGCAGAGAATTGCAAGATCAATTGGCAGGTAATTAATTTTTTCCCCAGTTTAATTTTTAAAACCCAGGAAAGTTATCTAGCTCATTTTATTCAAAATATGTTTCATGTTTACTAGTAAAAGTACCTTTTGTTTGACTTAGGTGTTTTTATTGAGTCCCCATTTATTTTCTTTTAGATCATAGCTATTAATACCATAAATATTATTTAAAAATTAAGAAAATTATAAATAAAAAAATTAAATTCCAAATTATAATCATGACATAATAATTTTATTTTGTTTATTTCTTTGAGACAGAGTTGTAAATAAAAAAATTAAATTCCAAACTATAATCATAACATAATAATTTTGTTTTGTTTCATTTTTTGAGACAGAGTCTCACTCTGTCACCCAAGATGGAGTGCTGTGGCCCAATCTCAGCTCACTGCAACCTCTGCCTCCCAGGTTCAAACAATTCTCCTGTGTCAGCCACGCTAGCTGGGATTACAGGCACCCACCACCATGCCCAGCTAATTTTTTTATTTTTAGTAGAGACAGGGTTTCACCATGTTGGCCATGCTGGTCTCGAACTCCTGGTCTCAAGTGATCCACCCAATTGGGCCTCCCAAAGTGCTAGAATTACAGGCATGAGCCCCGACATCCGGCCAATCACAGCATCATAATATATTTCATCCCTTCACACACACAGATGCACATACATATGTGTAATTGTTTTTGTTACAAATAATTCCTTTATATGGTTTTACAATAAATTTGTTAAATTGATTCCTAGTTAATTGCCGTTAGGTTGTTTACAATATTTTGTTATTATGAACAATGTAGCCAGACAGAAATGTTTGTTCATGTGTGTATGTAAATATGCATGCACACACATATACATGTATGTGTGTATATATTATATATATACCCAATGCCAATTTAATTTCAAAGACTCATTTCTATAAGAAAAAATGCTACTTCGCGGGGTGCACATTTCAACTTCAATCCCATTTTGAATGTCAATAACTAGTGCCACATTGTCCTCCAGGAACATTTTATTTTGAAGAAATGTACAAAACAGATCTGTTTATAGTGGCCCTGCTTTTTTTGTGTGTGTTTTTTTTTTGCCATCCCTCAGTTTAATCAGTCGGAATGAGGGTGGGTGAGGAAACGGAGTAGAACAGTGATAAAGATCATGCCTCCATATGGCACTATCTACAGTACACTCGGCTTCTACATTTTAAGGTAGCCATTTTTGTGAGGTCTTAGCAAAGCATTTGCAACGATTTGCAGCAGGAGGACTTCTTCACAATGCCTCCTGCAATGGAAATGCCCTGCCAAAAATGACTGCATCAAATCAGCTGCATCAAAATGATTCGGTTTTTCAATATAAGCAGTCATTAATTTTTGTATTGTCATTATGATTATGGATTTTCTTTCCTCTGTGATGTACTGTGTTTTGCATTTTTCTTCTTTCATCATATATTATTATTATAGTTAGAAAAATGTACAACAGAAAGATCATAGTTAGAGTTTAGAAACACAGGTGAGTAGCCACCGCTCTGCTCTGACCTCGGCATCCTGCTCTCCACCAGTATTCTGAAGGATGGGCTGCTTAATAAGGTGGGGGGAAATCTGGCTCTGCTTGTCCTAAATAGCTCTATGAGGTGGAGCTGCTTTGTGGAGACTTCAAGTTGACTAGGCCTTTGGAGGGACTGTAAAGACTTCAGGTTGATTAAGCTGGTACATAGGCTGGTATTTGTTACTCCCAATTCCCAATATCTGCAAGCCAGTTGAAACATAATATGTATAATTTGGTCTGATCTATAACTCAAGAGCTCATTGTCTCAATCACAGAATTTCCCTGCCAGCTCTCAATCTGGACAGAAGGGCATTGCTTCAAACTGAGAAGAGGGTCACAGTTCAGCTTCTCTTATAATTGCCCATTCAGGCTCCACAGAAAGCTTCCAGGATGAAGAGTTTTGAGAAGTGGATGTACGCAACACACATGAAATTTCACTGTGTGGGGAACATTGTAGGTAACATGTAAGTTCAAGGCTGGGCAAGGTGGCTCACGCGTGTAATCTCAGCACTTCGTGAGGCTGAGATGGGAAGATCACATGAACCTAGGAGTTTGAGACCAGACTGGGCAACATAGTGAGACCTCATCTCTAAAGAAAAATTAGAAAATTAGCCAGTCATTGTGGTGCATGCCTGTGGTCCTAGCTACTCGGGAGACTGGGGTAGCACGTGGGAGGAGTGCTTGAGCCTGGGAGGTTGATCACATCACTTCACTCCAGACTGGGCAACAGAGTAACACTTCATCTCAAAGAAGAAAGAGAGGGAGAGAGAGAAACAGAAACAAAGAAAAAAGAAAAAAAAAGAGGTTCAAGACATTTTAGGAGATTGTTCAGTGAGAGTCAGAGGGTGTCTTGGGTATTTTGTGGTGCTTGTTATTTACATCCTAGACAAAACTCTCCTCTCCTGTCTCATATTTACATTCAGCACTGCAGATTAAATTTCATGGATGTGCATGTTCCTATCAGGCACAGCCAGAAAAATAACCTGGGCAAATACTGAGGGAGAGGGATTTATTGGTTCTGAGTTGTGCAAACCGAAGAAAGCAAAAGGCTCCTTATGCCTGAGAGTGTCGTAATGTCAGGCTGTAACATCTGTGACTGCTGCAGTTACTCACCAAAACCCACACATGAAGGAGGGAAAGGCACAGGAATCACAGAGGAGGGAGAATTTAGCCTTGACAGAGGGTATTTGAATTTGCTTCAACTCTCACTGCCAGCACAGGTCCCTGTGGTAATCCAGGGACGATGAAGTATACATGGCCCCTGCAAGCTGACAGGAACCCACCTTCGCAGTCTTACTTCTCAACACAACCCTACTTCCTCCATTTCAAATTATATGTTTTACCCAACACTTTTCTGAGCATGACAGATTTAGGTTTCAGGATTTTGGGTTGTCTGTTTTTTCATGATTATTTTGAGAAATTGATGTGTAATAATTGTACATATTTTGGGGGTGCATGTGATATTTTGATGCATTATACAATGCGTAATGATAAAATCAGGGTAATTGGGATATTCTTCATGTCAAACATTTATATCTTCTTCATATTGGGAATAGTACACATCTTTTCTTCTAGCAATTTTGAAATATACAATAAATTATTATGAATTAGCATTTCCTTACTGTACTATCAAATACTTGAATATATTACTTCTACCTAATTGTATTTTTCTACCCTTAAACCAACTATTTTGCTTCTCAGTTGAGGCATATATTGTTCCTCTACACAAAATGTCTTTCCCCACCTTGTTATTCTTGAACTACCTCCTCATCTGGGACATACAGCATGACAACTGTGATTCCCTAGAACCAGAGCCAGAGGAAAGGAGTGGGTGCATATTCTTTACTAAAGGGGTGTACTCTTTTCAGGAAAATCTGTAAGAGAGTGAGGAAAAGTGGGAGAGTGGGAATACTTGAGTAAGGCTGTGGGCTCAGGCAGTCTAGCACATCCTGACCTTCTGGGATCTCTGGATAAGTGGTTTTCACCTGGCACAAGACGTTTGGTGTCTTGTATTCTCAGAGAAGTCAGCCTTCAGCTGTAGGATGCCTCATGGGCAAGTTGGAGTCCACAGGCTGAGGGAAGTGCTCCAGAGAAAGGGGATAGTTCTGAACCCTGAGCAAAAAATGTTGAAAGCAGATGACAGATGGGTGCAACAGCCTGGTCCCCAGGCTCTCAGGGGATACCAAAAGCATTTTCTGTGTTTGCTCTGATCTGTCACTTGTGCAGTGCTACAACAAGCAGATACAAGAAAACAGCTAATGCATAAGAGAAAATAAAATCAATCTTGGAAGCAGCTGAGTTTTCTTACTGTTGTATTCAGATTTTCAAAGACAGCTACTTGGCCATTACTTGAAAGTACCGATTTACTCACAGAAAAGCTTATATTTATTTGTGAAAAAATTTAGAATCATGCATATTTTCTTAATTTATATCCTCTGACTAAATGAAATTCTGCCTTGTGTAGTGCTTGAGAGACATTACATCTTGGTTACAAAGTAAAAATAAATAATCCATTCACAACATTTTTCAATAGCCAAATAGTTGTGTTTTCACCAGATATCTCAAAGCAGTTACTGATAAAATTCAACCAAGATAGAATAGGACAAAAGTAATTCCAATTTTGCTAGATGGTATGCTTTTTAAAAATGGATCTAAAGCATCAGACTAAGAGGAGATGAAATATCTTCCTCAAATATGAAAACAAAATTCAGATTGATTTTCCTAGAATCTGTCCTGGGGGTTCATAATCATATCAACTCCCGAATTGTTTAGAGAAATGGTTCAATATCTACGAACGCAGTATTTTCCCCCACATTTTCAAGAAAATCTTTATGAGCTTGGTGAATACTCTCTTTGGTAATAAAGGAACAATATCCTAAAGCAAAGAAAGATCTTAACTCTGTCACTGTCCCAATAGGACAAAGCTTATGTGCTGAGGGCAAGCACAGCTCAAATTGCATAGATAAAAGGAAGCAATGTCAGAATCAGAAAACAGGATTCTTAAGGTGTTATTCATTTAAGTTTTCAATCTCTGAACATCATTTCCAAATATGCTTTTTTTCACCAGTCTAATAATTAACAGATACTAGGAACAGTAATTTCTTCACTAGATGTATATGCACAGTCTTTTGCTTGCAGAAAATCCCCAGAGCCACTGGAAGAAAAATGAAGAAGGGTGGTAACAGCTGCTGTTAGTGAGTTTTTCACCTTTTAAGGCTGAAATAGCTTCACATTACGTACTTTAAGTATGACTCTGATCATCACACACACACACACACACACACACTCCACTAAATAAATGAAAAGTAATTTTTTTGTCACTTTTGGGACTCAATGTCCCCTCAAATTTGGAAAATGCCCTGAGGTCCAACATTTTGGAGAATTCCGTATGGTAGGTAGTTACCAGTTCTCATTGGAAACTCTTGCATTAGATGTTGTTCCAATCTGTATGTCATATCAATACTTCTGGATGGGCCCTTTTAAAACCAGATTTGTGTCATAGGATCCTTTGAAGAGGCCGCTATCTTCTGTACCTCTGGCCCTCCTTCCCTTGGTCATTGTGTATTTCTTCCCTCTGAAATCTTGCCACCTTATCAAGAAGCATGTGGCTGTTCCCCACCAGTTTGTACACCCAAGGACACTCCCCTCTCACTGCAACTGGAGAATCACTTTCTCCTTGTTTCTCTCAAAAGGGCTAATGGATTCGTGATAAATATCTATCTCCTCAACAAGCATAGATTTTTACAAAACTAGGAATGCATATTGACTTCAAAGTGCTCTTTCTTCTGCCGTGTAAAAGATATACTGAAGTTAAGAATAATTAAAAAATAAAATCCCTGCTTTAAAAAGTATGCATATAATGAATGAATAGGAAATGGGGTGGAGTTAGACTGGGAAGAAAACCTGCAGAGGAATGACACAAATTGATCCTTCACATATCTTACCTCAATAGAATATAAAATGTAACAGGCAATTTTGAAAAATAAAAATCACCCATTATCCAATTACCAAAGGAAAAAAGCGTAACAGTCATTTTGTTTTATATCCTTTCAGCGTTTTTTTTTCCTTTTCACTGCTGCTTTGAGTACACATTGATGCAACCCCAAATGGAAGCAATTTAGCAAATATCTGTTTAAATTACAAATGTTCATGCTCTTTACCACAAAATTCTGTATGGCACATTTATTCTGTATTTCAAATAAGTGCAAAGAGAAGTACTACAAGTGTCTCCATTGCAATACTTTTTAAAATAAGAAAACTTAGAAATAACAATAGATAACCAGTTCATAAATTATGGTACATCTATACAACACAATACTTTGTAGACATAGAGAAGGAGGAAACGCTTTCTGCCCTAAGGAGTGATATTAAGATGTGAAAATATCATTTTATAAGCTTGGATTTTAAAGGTGGAGATTGAACGAGAGGAATGTAACCTCTCTGCACATCATTTATCTATCTAAAAATGAAGATGACCATGTTGCCTCCTTCTTAGGATTGTTGCAAGGATTCCATGAATAAATATTTTAAAAGTGCTTAGACTAGGGCCTGACACAGAGGCTAGTGCCATGTAAGTATTAGTTACCGTCACTATGGGAAACATCGTTAAGTGGAGGGAAAGTTCAAAACAGTGTACATAGTGTGTTTTCGTTTACATAAAAATGAGAAGTACGGGTGCACATTTTCAGTCATGTTTGAGTGTAATACATCTGAAAGGTTTTACAGGAGACTATTAACTCTGGTTGCCTATGGAGAGGAGAACTGGGCTGGGTACAAAAGAAAAATAAACTTTTCGCTATATATCCTTCCATGCATTTTAAAATCAGGAAGAAGTTTTAATTATTATTTATTCAAAATTAAATAAAAAGATAAAAATATATAAGAAGGCCTTCCCTGCAGCAAGATTTTTAAAAAGAGATTTCTATTTATGCTTCTAGTTCTTTTGCTGCTATCTTTTTACATTAATATGTCTGGAATTTAATTCTATATACAGTATATATTAGGGAACCTTTTATTTTTCTTAATCTCATCAAATGTTTTGTTCTAATGGTGAGTGCCTCTTTTATTAAATATCAGTTTGTATCTATCTATCTACCTAAACACATTCACACATAACTCAATATCTAAACACTTTCTGTTTGATTTTTCTATTCCTATTCTATTGCCACACTTGTTCCATTATCATAAGTTTAGAACATATATTGGTATTCTTCCACTAACACCGTTTTCTCAGTTAAAGCCTTTGCTTAACGTTAAATGGTTTTCTGAATTAAAATAACTTTTGAATTAATGTTTTTTGCTATTTGATTTAAAGTTTTTTATGAAATATTTACGTGAAAACCAACCTTTTGCTAATAGCAAGATATTATATCAAGGAAAAATATTACATGGACTAATACTTAGATGACAGATGCATTAATATACATCTTGTGTATGTGTATACATGCTAACATATATATAATATACATACATTATACAATATATATATATATTGTGTGTGTGTGTGTGTGTGTGTGTGTGTGTGTGTGTGTGTGTGTGTGTGTATTTGAGGTAGGGTCTCTCCCTGTTGCCCAGGCTGGAGTGCAGTGGCATAATCATGGCTCACTTCAGCCTTGATCTCCCCAGGCTCAAGTGATCCTCCAACCTCAGCCTCTTAGGTAGCTGGGGCTACAGGTGCAGGCCACCATGCCCAACTAATTTTGTGTGTGTGTGTTTCTGTAGAGAGGGCGTTTTGCCATATTTCCCAGGCTGGGCTCAAACTCATGGGCTCAAGCAATCCACCCTCGTCGTATTCCCAAAATGTTAGGATTACAGGTGTGAGACACCGCTCCTAGCCGGATATTGTATATTTTAATTCGAACATTTTAATTAAACTTTTTATTAATATGAAATAATCATACATTCATATGTAATTGGAAATAAAAGATTGATACATTCAAGACACAGAATGTTTCCATCAGCCCAATCATCCCAAGGATGCCTCATGTTGCACTTTTATACCTGTTGCACACCTACTTCCCTCATAGTCTCATTCATCCTTAAACTTTGGAAACCACTAGTCTGCTCTAAATTTCTATAAATTTCTTATTTCAAGAATATTATGGAAATGAAACCATATACTATTAACTTTTTTAGGATTCCCTTTTTTTTAATTTTTGTAGTAACATAGTAGATGTATATATTTATAGGGTATATTAGATATTTTGATACAGGTATGCAAAATGCAAAATAAGCACATTATGAAGAATAGTGTATCAATCCCCTCAAGTATTGATTCATTGAGTTGCAAACAATCAAATTAAACTCAAGTTATTTTAAAATGTACAGTTATAATCGATGATAGTCACCCTGATGTGCTATCAAATACAGTATGTTTTATTCATTCTATTTTTTCATACCCATTAACCATCCTTACATCCCCCTAGAGATTTGTCTAGGCTGTCATGTGCATCAATAGTTAATTCCTTTTTATTAGGTAATGTTCCATGATTCAATAGTTAATTCCTTTATATTAAGTAATATTACATGATAAGGATGTGCTACAGCTTGTTTAACCATTCACCTGCAGAAGAACATCTCAGTTGTTTCTAGTGTTGGGCTATTGCAAATAAAGCTGCTATGAATCTTCATATACAGGCTTTTGTGTGAATACAGGTCTTCGTTTCTCTGGGAGAAATGCCCAGGAGTGTAATTTCTGGGTCAGATTGTAGTTTTGGGTTTAATTATTTTTTAAGAAATTGTCAGGCCAAATATCTTTTTATCCTGCAACCCTGCTGAACTCACTTATTAGTTCTGAGATTATTTTTATTGGGCTTTTGTTTTATTTGTTTAAAATTATTTGTGTTTTTCTCTTTTTTTTTTTTTTTTTCAAGATGGAGTTTCACTCTTGTCACCCAGGCTGGAGTGCAACGGCATGTTCTCGGCTCACTGTAACCTCCGCCTCTCAGGTTCAATCAATTCTCCTGCCTCGGCCTCCTGAGTAGCTGGGATTACAGGCACCCACCATCACATCTGGCTAATTTTTTTATATTTTTAATAGAGACAAGGTTTCACCGTGTTGGCCAGGCTAGTCTCGAACTCCTGACCTCAGGTGATCTGCCCACCTCGGCCTCCCAAATTGCTAGGATTACAGGTGTGAGCCACTGTGCCCAGCCTATTTGTGGTTTTCTATGTAGACAATTATGTTGTCTGCAAGTAGGGAAATTTGTTTCTTCCTTTGTACGCTTTTATTTCAGTGCTGGGCTAGTACTACCAGCACTATGAAGATAAAGCATGGTAAGAGCAGACATCCTTGCTTTGTTCCAAGTCTTAGGTGAAACTTGTTCATTCTTTCACTATTAACTATAATTTAAGCTGTTTCATGTACTTTGTCTCAATTAAGTTGAAAAAAAAGTCTCTTCATTCCTATATTACTGAGAGTTCTTTATCACAAATGAATGTTGAATTTTACCAAATGCTTTTTCAGCATCAATATGATTATGTGATTTTAGTGATTCTAACCTGTTAAAATGGTGGATTACGTTAATTGATTTTTGAATACCAGCCTTGCACAACTGGAATAGACCCTACTTGGTCCTCATGTATATTTCTTTTTGTATACTGATAAATTCTATTTGCCAATATTTTGTTCAAGATTTGTGTATCTATACTCATGAAGAAAATGGATTTCTTTTTTGTACTGAGCTGGTCTGGTTTTAGTATAGAGCAATACTAGCTTCAGGAAATAAGTTAGAAAGTGTCCCTCCTACTCTATTTTATGAAAGAGATTATATTATTGCAATTACTTGAATGTTTGGCACAAATTTTCCTGTGAAACCATATGTTACTGAAGATTTGTTTCCTTGAAAATTTAAGAATTACAAATTCAAATTAAGTAATAGTAATTGGTTTATTCTAATTATGCATTTTATATTGGGTGTGTTACGATTGTATTTTTTGAGGATTTGGTGCATTTTGTTTATGTTTTCAAGCTTATGTTTGCAGGGTTGATTTAGTATCCCTTTATTAATTATTTTTATATAGTCAGGTACTATATTAATATTCTGGTTCCTTTATGATATGAGTAATTTATGTCATTTTCAGCTATCTTTCTAGAGGATTGTAGACTTTATTGACCTTTAAAAAACATCCTTTGTTTGCAAGCACAGAAGAAAGGCCATGTGAGGAGCCACAAAACTATGGCTGTCAGCCTGGTGTGGTGGCACACACCTGTAATCCCAGTACTTTGGGAGGCCAAGGTGAGCAGATCACTTGAGGTCACTTCCAAGATGGCCAAATAGGAACAGCTTCAGTCTGCACCTCCCAGAGAGATTGATGCAGAAGACGGGTGATTTCTGCATTTCCAGCTGAGCTCTGAAGAGAGCAGTGGTTCTCTCAGCATGGCGTTCAAGCTCTGAGAATGGACAGACTACCTCCTCAAGTGGGTCTCTGATCCCCACATAGCCTGACTGGGAGACACCTCCCAGTGGGCACCAACAGACATCTCAAATAGGTGGGTGCCCCTCTGGGACAAAGCTTCCAGAGGAAGGATCAGGCAGCAATATTTGCTGTTCTGCAGCCTCCTCTGATGATACCCAGGCAAACAGGATCTGGTGTGGACGTCCAGTAAACTCCAACAGACCTGCAGCTGAGGGGCCTGACTGTTAGAAGGAAAACTGACAAACAGAAGGGAGTAATATCAACATAAACAAAAAGGACATCCACACCAAAACCCCACCTGTAGGTCAACAACATCAAAGACAAAAGGCAGATAAAAACCACAAAGATGGGGAGAAACCAGAGGAGAAAAGCTGAAAATTCCAAAAACCAGAGCACCTCTTCTCCTCCAAAGGATCGCAGCTCCTTGCCAACAAGGGAACAAAACTGGATGGAGAATGAGTTTGATGAGTTGACAGAAGTAGGCTTCAGAAGGTCGGTAATAGAAAACTTCTCCGAGCTAAAGGAGCATGTTCTAACCCATCGCAAGGAAGCTAAAAACCTTGAAAACAGGTTAGACGAATGGCTAACTGAATAAACAGTGTGCAGAAGACCTTTAATGACCTGATGGTGCTGAAAACCATGGCACGAGAACTATGTGACACATGCACAAGCTTCAATAACCAATTGATCAAGTGGAAGAAAGGATATCAGTGATTGAAGATCAAATTAATGAAATAAAGTGAGAGGACAAGATTAGAGAAAAAATAGTGAAAATAAATGAACAAAGCCTGCAAGAAATACGGGACCATGTGAAAAAACCAAATATACATTGGATTGGTGTACAAGAAAGTGACAGGGAGAATGGAACCAAGTTAGGAAACACTCTTCAGGATATTATGCAGGAGAACTTCCCCAACCCAGCAAGGCAGGCCAACATTCAAATTCAGGAAATACAGAGAACACCACAAAGATACTCCTTGAGAAGAGCAACCCCAAGACACATAATTGTTGGATTCACCAAGGTTGAGATGAATGAAAAAATGTTAAGGGCAGCCAGGGAGAAAGGTCGGGTTACCCTCAAAGGGAAGCCCATCAGACTAACAGCGGATATCTCGGCAGAAACCCTACAAGCCAGAAGAGAGTGGGGACCAATATTCAACATTCTTAAATGAAAGAATTTTCAATCCAAAATCTCATATCCAGCTCAACTAAGCTTCATAAGTGAAGGAGAAATAAAATCCTTTACAGACAAGCAAATGCTGAGAGATTTTGTCACCACCGGGCCTGCCTTACAAGAGCTCCTGAAGGAAGCAGTAAACATGGAAAGGAACAACCAGTACCAGCCACTGCAAAAACATGCCAAATTGTAAAGATCATCAATGCTATGAAGAAACTGTATCAATTAACAGGCAAAATAAACAGCTAAAATCATAATGACAGGATCAAATTCAACCATAACAATATTAACCTTAAATGTAAATGGGCTAAATGCCCCAATTAAAAGACACAGACTGGCAAATTGGATAAAGAGTCAAGACCTCTCAGTGTGCTGTATTCAGGAAACCTTTCTCACATGCAAAGACACACATAGGCTCAAAATAAAGGGCTGGAGGAAGATCTACCAACCAAAAGGAAAGCAAAAAAAAAAGCAGAGGTTGCAATCGTAGTCTCTGATAAAACAGACTTTAGACCAACAAAGATCAAAAGAGACAAAGAAGGCCACTACATAATGGTAAAGGGATCAATTCACCAAGAAGAGCTAACTATCCTAAATATGTATGCACCCAATACAGGAGCACCCACATTCATAAAGCAAGTTCTTAGAGACTTACAAGGAGACTTAGATTCCCACACAATGATAATGTGAGACTTCAACACACCACTGTCAATATTAGACAGATCAACAAGACAGAAGGTTAACAAGGATATCCAGGATTTGAACTCAGCTCTGGACCAAGCAGACCGAATAGATATCTGCAGAACTCCCCACCCCAAATCAAGAGGATATACATTCTTCTCAGCACCACATCTCACTTATTCTAAAATTGACCACATAATTGGAAGTAAAACACTCATCAGCAAATTCAAAAGAAACGAAATCGTAACAGTCTCTCAGACCACAGTGCAATCAAATTAGAACTCAGAATTAAGAAGCTCACTCAAAACTGCAAAACTACATGGAAACTGAACAACCCGATCTTGAATAACTACTGGGTAAATAACAAAATGAAGGCAGAAATAAAGATGTTCTTTGAAACCCATGAGAACAAAGACACAATGAACCAGAATCTCAGGGACTCATTTAAAGCAGTGTATAGAGGGAAATTTATAGCACTAAATGCCAACAAGAGAAAGCCAGAAAGATCTAAAATCGAACCCTACCATCACAATTAAAAGAACTAGACAAGCAAGAGCAAACAAATTCAAAAGCTAGCAGAAGGCAAGAAATAACTAAGATCAGAGCAGAACTGAATGAGATAGAGACATAAAAAAATCCTTCAAAAAATCAATGAACCCAGAAGCTGGTTTTTTTGAAAAGATCAACAAAATAGATAGACCACTAACAAGACTAATAAAGAAGAAAAGAGAGAAGAATCCAATAGATGCAATAAAAAATGCTAAAGGGGCTATTACCACCAATTCCACAGAAACACAAACTACCATCAGAGAATACTATAAACACCTCTAAGCAAATAAACTAGAAAATCTAGAAGAAGTGGATAAATTCCTGGACATATACACCCTCCCAAGACTAAATCAGGAAGAAAACGAATCTCTGAATAGACCAATTACAGGATCTGAAGTTGAGGCAATAATTAGAAAGTATAGAAAATTTATCATCCTTTACACTCAGTGGGCTAAAATGAACTTTATCTTTGCTTACTTATAATCTTACTGCCTTACAAAAGTCCTTTTACATACATGTAGAACTGTATCAGATAGTATTTATTTCTTTACCTGTCAAACATAATTTAGAAACTCAAAAAAAGAAACCCTATTTTATTTGCCCATATTTTTGCTTATCACATTATTTTTTCCTTTCTAATGTTCCAAGGTTTCTTCTTTTATCATTTTTGTTTTGTATTGAGAACTTCCCTTAGCTATATAGTTTTGCAGGCAATACATTTTCTTATTTTTGTTTCAACCAAGAATGTCTTGATTTTCTTTCATTCTTAAATAATATTTTTGATGGACATAAGTGTCTGCATTGATTTGTTTGTTCTTAAAAAATATTATTATACTTTCTCTGGGCCTGTGATTTCTAAAGATAAATATGCTGTTATTTGAATTATTTTGCCTATATAGGTAAAGTACCATTTTCTCACTGTTTTTAAGACTGTGTGTGAATGTGTTTAAATTTTAGAAAAGAAATTAGGATTGTCAGGTATGTATTTCTTTGGGTTTATCCTGCTTATATTTTGTAAGCTTCTTAATTCCGTTTGCTTAAATTTCTTGCCTAATTTGGAAAGTTTTCTACTATTTTTCCCAATATTTTTTCAGTCCTACCTTTTTCTTTCTTCTTCCAGAACTCAGAAGTGAATTTTAGATATTCCGTCATAATCTCAAGGTCTGTGAGGTGCTTTTGTTTTTTCCAGTCTGTCTTCTTACAGTTAGTCAAATTTGGCCATTTTTACTGTACTATCTTCAGTCCACTGATTCTTTACGCTCTCTCTCTCTCTCTCTGTCTCTCTCTCTCTCTCACACACACACACACACACACACACACACACATTCTGTTGTGTCCAGCCCATCAACTAAGTTTTTTTATTCTGGTTATTGTATTTCTTAGTTTTAAAATTTCCATTTGTGTCTTCATCTCTTTTATTTCATTACTAAGGCTTGAAATTTTGCTGAGACATTTTACTTGTTTCAAGCATGCATGTACTTCTCATTGAAATATTTTTATCATGGCTACTTTAAAATATTTGTGATATACTTTTAACATCTCTACAATCTTGCTGTTGGCATCTATTGATAGTTCTTTTTATTGAGTTTGATATCTAATGAAAGTTGGAAATTTTTGTATTACAAGACTCTGAATCTTATTTAAATCTTTTATTTTAGCTGTGTGTGTGTGTGTGTGTGTGTGTGTGTGTGTGTGTGTTTTCTGGCACCATTATGGCAGAGGAAGAAAGTGTGCCGACTCATTACTGCCAGCTGAAAGCAAAAGTTTAGGATCCCTCAGTCAGGCATGGTGGCACACACCTATAGCTCTAGCTACTTGGGAGACTGAGGCAGAAGGATTATTTGAGCCCAGGGGTTTAAGGCTATAGTATGTTATGACCATGCCTGTGAATATGTAGTATGTTATGACCATGCCTGTACACCTGCACAGGCAACATAGAAAGACCTCGTCTCTAAAAAATAATAAAATAAAGTCTAGAGTCCCCACTCTGACTCCATTGACTCTTGGGGGTGGAGACTCAGGTGTTCCAGTTCAGTATGTAGTTTCTGCTGAGACCACAAGTAGGGTGGGCTTGTTATCACAGAATGTTGGTGAAATTTCTGACTCTGCATCTCTGACACCATCCCTGTTTGCAGGGACAGAGAGAGGGACACCTTGCTACTGCCAGGTGTGGTGGTAATCCATTATCCCTATGTAGTCTCCATGGACACTGTGGGGAAGCAGTTATTACTGGCTGGTGGAGATAAAAGTCCCAGATTTCCATTTGACCTTTTTAAATACCATCCTGGTGGGTTTTTTGGGTCCCTCATTAGGGCTTCATCATGGTGGATGTCTCCCCACTTGGTTTTTGCTGGCATGGGTGTGGAGGGGCCACAGCTTTTTGGAGTTTTTACTAGAATAGACCAATTATGGTCTAAAAAGAGTTAGGCTGTCCCTTTCCTGTTTCTCTGTTGTTGTTTTTTCCCCCTCTTTTGTGCATTGACATTTCTGAGTTGCTGTCTTTTTCAGCTCCAAATCTGGGATATCTGAGACAAAAAAGAAACAGTGAATTCACTGTCATGTAATTTCTGACGTCCCAAGATCTTCAGCTGATCTTTCTTCTTCTCTTGAGCTTTCTGATTCTTTTAATATTTGTTTTACAAATAATGTCTAGGGTTTTAACTGTACTTATTAGCAAAGATATGGAAATGTATGTCTCTACCATCTTGTTGAAAACAAAACTCTCATATTTTATATTTCTTAAATGTTTTCATTGGTCTGTTTCTTATAGCAAATCTTGAGTGATTCATATTTATGTTGCTATTTTGATTCCCACTGTATTACACAACTAATTATCCTGGCGAATAGGCAAACTATTGACATACAAATTTACAGGATATATATTCGCCCAACTTACTCAACTTGGATAGTTTTAGTAGAATTTCTTTAATTTTTTTCAGATATTCTAGGTAGTTCATCACATTTCTGTTGATAGAGACATTTACTTTTCTTTGTGACCAATCAATAGTCATGCTTTTTATTTTTGTTTTATTTCATTGCAGTGGAGAAACTGCAACAGAATGTTCAATTATTTTAATAGTTAAAAAATTATTCCATTGATTTAATCAAACTTTGTGTCACTTTCCCATCTCCCTTTTATTCTCCAATGCACATCAATCAGCAGTCAACTTCTGTATTTAGAAGACTAGGCATCCTAATATTTGCACATGCAATGGAATGTTTTTGGTCCTACATTATTGGTTCTCCATTCTTCAACACACACATTTTCAATCACTCTTTTTTTCTTGACAACTCTGCAGTCTAGTCTATGAGGCCCCTATAGTAACTTAAGTAGCCTGTTGAGTATACTCTTTTTTAATTATACAAACTTTACAAATCGATTTTCATCAGGTTTATGCCGATGCACCCGTCCCCACCCCCCAACCAGACCAATATGCTTTCCCTTTCTTTGCAGATTCTTTTTGTTGAACACAGTTAATCTATCATTGGTATGCTGAAATATATATACAAGTACATAGATGTGTGTGTGTGTACGTGTGTGTGTGTGTAACTCGTGACTTTTTATATAAAATAAAATTAAAGAAAATGTACTATAGTAGCAGCAACATTGAAAATGAGCATAATAAAAATGGGAAGGGTAAGGGTTTAAAATTACCTATTGGGTATAATGTTCAATATTTGAGTGATGGATACACTAGAAGCCCAATCCCCAACTTTGTGCAATGTACTCATGTAAAAAACAATAACATGTATTCCCTGAATCTAAAATAAAAAGATGACGAAGAGAAATACACAGAATATTCCAGTGTCACCAGTAGTAACTCCTGTGGCTTATAGCTCTCTACCCCCTGAACTAATTAATGAGAATAGATTTGACCAGATAGAGGCATGTGCCCTGAATTTCAATTTAAATTCTGATGAAAAAGGGAAACTTTAGGCTTTTCTCTTCTCACCTGGAGAAAGTACCAGTTTAGCAGGTGGATACCAACTCACCGCAATAGAAACGTACATAAAAACATGTATCATGGCTGTTGTACAGAGTTGTCAAGGCTGTTGGGAAGGATTGGTGTTTGTATCACAGCCCAGAAGCTGATAAAGCACCACTCTCTCCATGCCAGAAGCCTCAGCCTTAGCACAGTTGGACCTTCATGCCCTCTCAGTGGTGAAAATCAGCAGCAAGCGAGAGAGGTGGAAGGCCATGCCAGAGGCTTGCCTGGAGTGTGTGTGGGGTTGAGGAGGGTTTGAGACTTAGCTAGGGCTTTCAAGTTGGAACTCTAGGTAGAATAGTGCAGTCATTAAAAGTATGGCCTCTGGAACCCAGACTGAAACCACATTGCCTATACGTGACTCATGCTTTTGCTGTGTGATTTCTGGCAGGCTAACTAACCTCATTTTAGTTTCCCATCTGTAAAGGTAGATAAAGTTTCTGTAGGGATTAAATGAATTATTCTCTGTAAAGCATGTACAATAGTGTCTGGGCATGTTCAGCAGTTACAAGCGTTGACTCTCATTTCTGTGGCATCAGGGCTTCCTGACCTAAGGAAATTTTGAACTTTCCCGGGTAATCAGTTTTTTTGTATCTTTTCTTTGCATTTCAATTTATGTTTTTCAGGAGCCTAGAGCTCATTTTGCTCTTCTCCCTTTCCCTCTCTCCCTGTTCAGACTCCTCATTTTCCAGCCATGTATCCTGCTAATGTTATTTCCCCAATCAGTCTCCCCTGTCTTTACCTTCTGCCATTGCTCTACTTAAGACTTCATTGCTGGTCATCTGAATCACTCCTCTCACTTTCTTTAATCCTGTCTTTTTCAAATGTTCAAATCCCTCATCCACTGAGCTGCAATTCTGACAGAACCCTCCCCCTTTAAATCTTTTCACTGGGTCCCCATCAGCTCTGTGATAAAGTCCACGCTCCTTTACACAGCACACAAGGCTCGACTCGCCTCTATCTCCTCTTGCCTGACTTGTCTCACTCTGTCTGCTCCAGCAACACTGAGATGCTTATAGTTCCTTGCAAATACCGGTCTTTTGTATCTATATTTTTCTCAGGCGTCAGTGGCAAAATAAAATAGATTCTTTGTGTGTGTTCATAGACAAGGATATGCATATAGAATTAAGTTGAGGGTACTTTTTTATTATACTTTAAGTTCTGGGATACAGGTGCAGAACATGCAGGTTTGTTACATAGGTATACACGTGCCATGGTGGTTTGCTACACCCATCAACCCGTCACCTGCATTAGTTATTTCTCCTAATGTTACCCCTCCCCTAGCCCCTCAACCCCCTACAGACCCCAGTGTGTGATGTTCCCCTCCCTATGTCCACGTGTTCTCATTGTTCAACTCCCACTTATGAGTGAGAACATGGGGTGTTTGGTTGTCTGTTCTTGTGATAGTTTTCTGAGAATGATGGTTTCCAGCTTCATCCATGTCCCTGCAAAGGACATGAACTCATCCTTTTTTATGGCTGCATAGTATTCCATGGTGTGTCTGTGCCACATTTTCTTTATCCAGTCTATTATTGATAGACATTTGGGTTGGTTCCAAGTCTTTGATATTGTGAATAGTACCACAATAAACATACGTGTGCATGTGTCTTTATAGTACCATGATTTCTAATCCTTTGGGTATATACCCAGTAATGGGATTGCTGGGTCAAATGGTATTTCTAGTCCTAGATCCTTGAGGAATTGCCACACCATCTTCCACAATGGTTGAACTCATTTACACTCCCACCAACAGTGTAAAAGCGTTCCTATTTCTCCACATCCTCCCCAGCATCTGTTGTTTCCTGACTTTTTAATGATCACCATTCTAACTGTCATGAGATGGTATCTCACTGTGGTTTTGATTTGCATTTCTCTAATGATCGGTGATGATGAACATTTTTTCATATGTTTGTTGGCTGCATGAATGTCTTCTTCTGAGACTTGTCTGTTCATATCCTTTGCCCACGTTTTGATGGGGTTGTTTTTCTCTTGTAAATTTGTTTAAGTTCTTTGTAGATTCTGGATATTAGCCCTGTGTCAGATGGATAGATTGCAAAAATGTTCTCTCATTCTGTAGGTTGCCTGTTCACTCCGATGATAGTTTCTTTTGCTGTGCAGAAGCTCTTTAGTTTAATGAAATCCCACTTGTCAATTTTGGCTTTTGTTGCCATTGCTTTTGGTGTTTTAGACATGAAGTCTTTGCCCATGCCTACGTCCTGAATGGTATTGCCCAGGTTTTTTTCTAGGATTTTTATGGTCCTAGGTCTTACATTTAAGTCTTTGATCCATCTTGAATTGATTTTTGTATAAGGTGTAAGGAAGGAGTCCAGTTTCTATTTTCTGCATATGGCTAGCCAGTTTTCCCAGCACCATTTATTAAATAGGGAATCCTTTCCCCATTGCTTGTTTTTGTCAGGTTTGTCAAAGATCAGATGGTTGAAGATGTGGTGTATTATTTCTGAGGGCTCTGTTCTGTTCCATTGGTCTATATATCTGTTTTGGTACCAGTACCATGCTGTTTTTGTTACTGTAGGCTTGTAACATAGTTTGAAGTCAGGTAGCATGATGCTTCCAGCTTTGTTCTTCTTGCCCAGGATTGTCTTGGCTATGTGGGCTCTTTTTTGGTTCCATATGAAGTTTAAAGTAGTTTTTTTCCAATCTGTGAAGAAAGTCAGTGGTAGCTTGATGGGGATAGCATTGAATCTATAAATTATTTTGGGCAGTATGGCCATTTTCATGATATAGAGTCTTCCCATCCATGAGCATGGCATGTTTTTTTATTTGTTTGTGTCCTCTCTTATTTCCTTGAGTAGTGGTTTGTAGCTCTCCTTGAAGAGGTCCTTAGGAAGTGACTATATGAAGCATCATCCTCTCAAGAGTACCTTTCAAATCACAGTGTCCCAGCTGGGTTGGTTGGCTCAGCTTGTGGTTAGTGAATCTTTATTTATATTATTGGACTCTAATTATGCCAGACTGAAAAATTTTACATCATGGGCTTTCCTATACTTTATGCAAGGTCTGGAGTAGACCTTCACTTAGAAGTGAAGCAAGAAATGAAACTCAAATGACTAAAAAATCTTAGCCACAACAATGACCAGAACAATATTAGCATATCTCTTTATCCATGAAATACCCATTTCTTTTTCTTTATTTTCTATTTTAATTTCCCAACTCAAAAAAGGAGATTCACTTTCATTCTATAATTTATCTACCAAGACTCTCTTATGTATTGATTGTTCAGAAATAAGCTATTGATATTTAGCATATGAACAAATGTTCCCACTTCATCAGTGTGTTGAATGAAAATGATGCACATGGCATAAAACAGGTTACATTTTAAAATACTGAAGGCTTAAGGAGAAATCCTATTACAAATCATAGGAAGATGTTTGAATTTCTACATGATTAGAAAAATGAACATGTAAACGTAATGAGATATTATTTTACTCTAGATAGTTTGACAAAAATTACAGTGCTGGATACTGCCGAATGTTGACAGGTATATAGGGACATAAGAATCCGCATGCATGTTTGGTGGTCAGGAAGTCTAGCACATCCATTCAGAGCATAATCAGGTTATGTATTTTACTCAAAGTAAATGACTTCTGGATATATGTCTTTCTGTATATACTATAGATAGGAATATTTTAATGCATATGGATAAGGATACTTAATGCACCTTTATTTTTGATGGCAGAAATTTGGAGGTCATCTAAGGGTCCATGTAGAGGATGTGCCTAAGAGAATAACATGCCATAAGCAACAAAGTCTGTGCACAGGCCCCACTGTGGTTAGACCTAAAAGTCAAGGTGCTGGGTGAAAAAGGTAATAAGCAGAATGACATCTATAGCCCCGTGTCATTTATATACCTCTCTGTGCCTTATTTTCCTCATTCATGAAGCTAGGAAAATGCCAGTGCCTATCTTACAGGATTGTTGTTAGAATTACATGATTCAATGTATGAAAGGCACTTGGTAAATGCCTGGGAGATAGTAAGTGATCCATAATACTGGTTATTATTCATCTTATTTTTATTATATAAATTAGCAATATATGCCAACAAAATGCCATTCAATGTTTAACATAATTACATGCTAATAAAAAGGTACACATCAAAACCTTCAGATTTATTCCTGGTGGGAAATATAGATAAAAAGAAATAAAGACATATTTATAACAAGAGAAGGTTATATGTCATGAATCAAGGAGTATGATTAAGTCAACAGTCTGCATCTGAGTTCCCTACAAAGGCTAAAACAAGAGATCTCTAAAATAGTTGCTTCTTGGGAACATGCAAATTAAGATGATATTAGCTGCAAATGAAATAATGCCAAAGTAACAGTGCCTTGATCAATAGGAAGTTTTATTGTCTCTCAAAATAGATGTTTGCAGGTAGGTAGTC
Organism: Homo sapiens; assembly: GCF_000001405.40. Lineage (NCBI taxonomy): Eukaryota > Metazoa > Chordata > Mammalia > Primates > Hominidae > Homo > Homo sapiens. The sequence continues at coordinate 83,124,136 of NC_000010.11, read as the reverse complement.
CCAGGGTTGGTTAGGCTCTCAAGGATCTCACCCTTCTTCTCCTGGTCTTCAAAACCCTGGCTTTCATACCATGACTTTGCTGTGCTATTCACAATAGATGCCGTATCTCAGAATCTAAATGGTAGGGAAAGGAGAAGCCTCACTTAGCACATGTCTCTCTTTCATCCAAGAGAAAAAAATTACAAGAACGTCCACCACCAGCAGCCATATCACCACAAGCCAAACCCATTAGTCGTGATGGATTAGTGGATTATGGCACGGATATGTGGAAAGGAAAATCAAATCTCTAACATCAGAAGCCCCTCTGATGGAAGGATAGCTCTTCCTACAAGGCAGAAGGGATTGGAAGTGGTTACTGGATAGTTCACCAACAGTGTCTAACATAAGAAGATGTGGAGTGTATAAAAATCACCACATTACTACTTCTAGGCCTTCGACCTTAGATAAATGATTTAACCTTGCTGTGCCTCACTTTCCCTATAGGCAAAAAAACCAAAAACAAACAAAAAAAACCTGTATTTACTTCATATGCATACACTAAATAAATGTTAGCTATAATTATGATTTCTTAGTAATTATTTAAGTGACCAAAGGATTTGCAGTCTTCAGGATCTCCATTAGCATCCCAGAATTGTTGCTTGCTTGCAATGGTTATCCTTTTGCATTACTACTTTTACATAGGGGTGATTTTGCCCCTTATGAGATATCTGGCAATGTTTAGAGTTTTTGTTTGTTTGTGTCCACAATTGTTGGGGGTGGGGGGGTATGTACCTTGTGCCTATAGTAGCGTGCAAAGGCCAGGAATGCTAATTAATATCCTACAATGCACATGGTAGACCCCCACGACAAAGACAGCCACCACCAACAAAAAGTTATTCAGTCCAAAATTTTAATAGTGTCAAATAGAAAAACCCTTTATATACGTAACTAAGACTCAAAGAGGTCAAAAATGTACATTTTTAAACACTCCTATCAACCACCTTTTTGACCGCAAAATGGAGATAATGATTTCCTCATATAGTATTGTTGAAAAGGTGAAAAACCCAACGTGTGTACAACATGGCAGGTACAGAGGGAGCAAACTGTTGAAATCATCTTGGCTCCATTTCTTCAACTCTAAAATGTAATAATAATGCTTCATTGTAATGTCGCTGTAAGGATTAAATAAAATTTGCTTAATGTTCCCAGTACACAGTAGATGACACATAAGTTGCTTTCTTTCTTCCCTTCTCATTAATCTTCAAAAGGTAGAACTTTGATCCTCTCAGATGATTAGGTAATGAAGGAGTTACTGAGAAAACAAATTATATATACATGCAACTTCTGACAAAGCTTGGCTGCCCAGAGTTGAGCAGTTCTTTCATACAATTGCCGCACAGTATCTCTCATGAATTGCATTAGACCAACCAGGCTGTAGTAAAAATTTGTGCATCCAGTTCCAGAGTTACAAGCATGAATTAGGAGCAGAAAAAACAGTACTTATCCTTTTTTCCATTTGATTTTTACAAGGTCATTACTTCTTTAATGGCATTTAAGACAATTTGTGGCATGGAAGTTTCACATGCTTACTGGTCAACTCATTGTAAACACCATTGTGCATATTTACTGTAAAACCCCATATTAGTTATGTAATGAGTCTTGGTGATAAAACAGCAAACGATGATTCATTTCTTTTGTGTTGCTTCATGCAGTGCACTTCTGAGGATTGAAATATGGAAAGCATCTTCTTTCAAAAGGAAATATCACCAAGAAGAAAGGCTCTATCAGCATGTAGCTTGGAACCAAATAAGATCCGAGGCTAATAAAAGTTCTGAAGCCTGACCTTGCAGACATCCCTACACCTTACACAGCATTCAACCCAGACAAGGCATAATAGCCAACATAAACCATGCTCAAATCCCGTTACCACTTACAGATTTCAAAATTGCCAGCCAATAAAATGGAAGAGAACCTGTGCATCCACATGTAGGAAATAAAGATAAAAATTAGGTGAAAAATATAGTGGTTAGCATTGGGAGGAGGGCATAGGGGATGGGAGGCTCAGGACAAAACACTAGATACCAGCAATAAAATGGAAGAGAAAAGCTCACTGCGGCCATTCTAATTGCCATGGAATCAAGCCAATAGGAGTAAATGAAAGCAGCCTGGGTTTTAGTGTTTCGTCTTTTTCTGTTTGCACTATGTTTTCTTTGCTTTTTATCTTCTGTAAGGATTATAAAGCCAGACATCCAGTAAAATGAGAAACATGGAAAACACAGTAAAGTTCCTGGCTCATATTAATTGACAAAATAAATATTAATGGAGTTCTTCCTTCCTCTTCAGTATATATCCAGTGTTAGAGAATTTGCTGATACTACCGCTATCATCTCCGGTAAATAATTAGGCATAATTTTCCCTTAGGGATTTTGTTGTTGTTTTGTGATTTGTTTTACTCATTGTTCTGGTTTTTAACACTTGATTTCACCTGACATACTGAGAAATTTGAAAAACCGTATTTCTTGTATGCTATCCTATTTCTTGGCTAAACATTTCCTTGTGTTGTGTCAAGTTTCCTCAACATTCTGATTATAGTCCTTTCAAATTTATTCAGGTGGTTCAGATTTTCTTAAGAGACAAGTTCAGAAGCAAAAGTAGGATGGTATGGGTAGCCTTGAGTGCACTTTGTAAATTTAATGTGCATTCCCCATTCCCATCTCTTGGAGGTTTTTTTTTTTTGTTTTTTGTTTTTTTTTTTTTTTAGAGATGGAGTCTCTCTCTGTCACCCAGGATGGAGTGCAGTGGCACAATCTCGGCTCACTGCAACCTCCGGCTCCTGGGTTCATGACATTCTCCTGCCTCAGCCTCCTGAGTAGCTGGGATTACAGGCGCCTGCCACCAGGCCCGGCTAATTTTTGTATTTTCAGTAGAGATGGGGTTTCACCGTGTTAGCCAGGATGGTCTCGATCTCTTGAACTCGTGATCCACTCGAGGTCTTTTAAGGTTCAGATTCTGGTTCAGCAGGTAGGAGGAGGCCCTAGATTCTTTGCTTCTATCAAGATTCTCTGTCATGCCAAAGCTGCTGGTTAGTCAGCAACTCTGAGTAGCAAGGATCTAAAAATGCAGAATAGAACATGTTATTAAATTCATTATTCTGAGTACTATTCATCTGTCAATGCAGTTTAATACAGGATTGTGTTTATTTGCTTGAAAGAACCCCATCACCTTTCCTAGACTGAGAGGACAAATGGCACCATGTCCTGTTCTTAGGAATATAAACCTTTTGCACAAATAAATAGATCTTATCATCTTTCATTATGCAAGGCAACCCTTGAACCTGTTTTTGCCTGTAGTTGGTGGCCACCTATATAACTGTTCCCCTTGCCACTGGGTCAAGTAGTTTTCATTTTAAACCTAAGTTCACCGTCTTTCTGCACCGACCTGCTATCTATAAGCAATGAGAACAGCATGCAGTGAGGTGCCCTAGAAAGAAACTTAGAAATTACTCATATTAGTTCGTTTTTGCGTTGCTATGAATACCTGAGGTTGGGTAACTTATAAAGAGGTTTAATTGGCTCACGATTCCACCGGCTGTACAGGAAGCATGATGCTGGCTCTGCTTATCTTCTGTGGAGGCCTCAGGAAATTTACAATCATGTTGGAAGGCAAAGAGGGAGCCAGCACTGCACATGGCTGGAAAAGGAGGAAGAAAGAGAAGGGGAAAGGCTACACATGTTTAAACAACCAGATCTTGTGAGTACTCACTCACTATCATGAGAATATCACCAAAGGTTATGTTGGTAAACCATTCAGGAGAAAAAATTCCCATGATTCAATCACCTCTTACCAGACTCCACCTCCAACTAGAGAATTAGGGGTTACAATCTGACATGAGATTTAAGCAGGGACACAGACCCAAACCATATCGCTTGTTTCCTTCAACACCATATACCTTGTCAATGAATGTATTGCCAAAACTGGATGATGACATTTCCTAAATAACTAGGTATTATACATGCTACAGATCTTAGTTTAAACATTGCTTTCTCTCTCCAGGAAGCCTTCCATTTCTTTCCTACACACACATCTGTAACCACATCTATGCCCAAAGAGTTTGCTCCTTGTGCTCAACTCCTTCCATACTTCTCCACTTTTAATCTTAGCATCTTTATGATTATAGAGGCTTTTATGTTTTTATTTCCCACTATCACCCCTAAGCCCAGTAGAGAGAACAGAGAAAAGGCCTAACAAGAATCTGTCGAATGTTTAATAAAGATTGAAGAAAACTTTGTGCTTGATTTCGCATTGTCTGCCTAACTGTCTGCATCTAGGTGAATTGCATTGCTATGAATTTGGAATGAAGCCCTACTTTAGTTGCTAATCACTATAACTTTAGTTTGCAATTCTAAATTCTTTTTATATAAGTGGAGATTATTAGAAATGACTTTAATTAATATGCAAAATCATTTTTGAAATGGTGCTTTATCCTGAACAGTGTTAGTAGACAGCATTCATACACAACTTATTTCACTTATTCCTAACTACAAAAATAAAACAATAATCCACAGCTCAGCAAGTTCCAGACTTAAAAAGATTGCACTGATGCCCAGATTTTACTGACAGATGGAGGATGACGTACATCACTTTCTGGAACCCCTTTATATTCATTCTCACAAAAAAATGCTGTACTTAATGCTGATACTGGCTGTCACCAGGATAGTCTTGGGCAGACTGGACAGTTGGTCACAACAGTCAATGTTGACTGAATCTAAGATCTAGCATCTTCTTTTAACAGCCACCTTGCTCCAAAACTGGTACTGACCAGGTCTGTTAAAGAAAGTCATGAGAGCAGGGATAGCTCCTGTCTAGATAGAAAAGGGACATTTGACTTACCAGTCTTTCCTAGCCAATATGGACATTCCCACAGATTGATTTCTTGTTACCTTCTCTTGGACTCATTGACATCAAGGGCCAGCTATAGCAGAAAATCATGCTTTTTTTTTTTAAGCTTAACACTGATTTTCTGTTATTTATAAAGAACCAGATTTTATCCTATTTCTGTAATATCAGCCATGGCAGCCATCTGATGGTAATAATTTAACCATCTGCAACTGCAATCATTTAGTAAACTGTTTGCAAAAAAATAAACCATAAAATGAAATGCAAATTGTATGAATTCAGAGGCACATATTTCTCTAATTAATATTGCTCCCTTAGTGAATTATAGGTTCCTTTTAGCAACATTCATTTTACTGAAATCTTCTCTGAAAATGCCATTTCAAGAATGGAGCATTAATATTAGATGGAAATAATGTGTTTTCTTCAGAAATGTATCCACAGTAAGTCTTCACTTAATATTGTCAATAGGTTCTTAGAAACTGTGACTTCAAGTACAATGCCGTATAACAAAACCAATTTTAACACATAGGCTCATTAATATCAACAAGATATAAGTTTCCAGGGCATATTTCTTTCCTTCTTTTTAGAGATGAGATCTTGCTATGTTACATGGGTTGGAGTTCAGTGGCAATTTACAGGTGCCATTATAGCACTCTATAGCCTCAAACTCCTGCTCTCAAATGATCCCCTGCCTCAGACTCTCAAACAGCTGGAACTACAGGTATGCAGCACCATGACCAGCTCCCTATGGCCTATTTCTGACCACAAAACATCAACAAGCTTCTAAATAAGACCCAAAACTTTTCCATTATTAAACACTGAAATAAATGTGAGCTATCAGTACATTTAAGAAGGGTTAATTAAAACCAAGTCAGATAATTATTTGCTCAATTTTTCATGAATTAGTGAGTGATGGCAGTCTCAGCATAGTGAGTTAAATCAAGGAATTAATGTTTGCAAAGACAATATTGTCAGGAGCATATCCCACCACCATGCAGTTCAAACACAATCATGAATACAGTGGGCTCACTGAGCGCTTTGTACTGCATTATTTACAGTCGTTCATTTGTATGATTATGGGATACTTGATGTTTTATTTGACAATAATTTTTATTCATTTATTTATTCCTTTTTTTGGTAAGCTTTATAATGAAACAACAATGAACAAAACAATGTTATTCGCGGACCTGCTGTATAACGCCTTGCTAATGCCTGCAAGATGAAACCCAGTATGTTTAGTTTGTCTTTCAAAGGCCTCTTGAGGTGGTCTAAAAATAAGCATCCCAAAGTCTCTAGGATCTGCCTGAAAACATTCTCCATTTCTGCTTCATAGGTCAACAACTGTTCTTCAGACACTACCAGCACTATGTTTTGCACACAGTAGGCATGGCATAAACAAATATTGAATAGAAAAATAAATGGAGTCAAGTTTTTATTGGATTTCCTCTCTACACATAGCATGCTCCCCTTTCCTCTGTATATAAGCACGTCTTTTTGACCAGAACATCTCTGATATATTTTAGTTCTACCATGTAATATTTGACAAATTTACGGTGACAAATGTTTATATGTATTATTTAGGCTGTGTTTATATAAATACATATTTTGATGATAATTATAGCCACCCATCTAGACTTTAAGCCACTAGAAGGACGTGTTTACAGTGAGTGCTGGGCAAAGTATTTAGATCCTTACCCTAGAAGTTGCCCAGACAGTGTCAAAATAGCAGATGGTCTTTGATTTTGCCTCTCCCACGCTCTCTACTGATTCTTGCTCCTCCTCTTTTTCCTTACTTAACACGTCCTAAACTGGGCCTGGATCTCCACTTGTCAAGGGCTATATGCTGAAAACTCACCTCCCTACTCCTTTCTTTTCTCTGCTCTGTTCTCCAACACAAATTTCTGTTTAAATATTTAATTGTTCATTACTCTGAATATGACCATTACATATTGTATACATATATCAAGATATCACGCTGTACCCCATTAATATGTGCAATTATGTCTCTATCAAAAATAATAATAAAAGCAAAAAAGAATGTTCAATAATTTCTGCAAAAAAATATTAATTGCTACCAAAAAATAGAAATAAAAAATTTGATTAAATATCAGAGTTCACATCAAGGTTAATGACATACTTGGAAGTATTTTAGCTTCCAAAAGGCAATTGTTAAACCAAATACGTGTCTATATTTTAAAATTTCAAGTAGTTGGAATTGATAGTTTTTAAATAGTTAGATGAGGTGGAGGAAGGGGTGTGTGTGTGTGTGTGTGTGTGTGTGTGTGTGTGTGTGTGTGATGGGGGTATGCCTGCTAGGAAGACAAATGTTTCCTTTTTTGTCATTATCAATGTCCAAAGCATGAATAAAAATAGAATTAAGAGAAGGGGAGATGGCATAGACCAATAATGGCTGGTAAGAAAAAAAAAATCTTCATTGAGCCTTTGATTAACTAAATTTGTAGTGGTAAGTAGTAAGTTTTGCTACATCTTGCTTTTATTAAAAAGGGAGAGATTTAAGAAAACAAAATAATGAGTAGAAGCTCCATTTTATGTTTTTCAGACTACTCTACTGAGGTCAGAATAACTTCATTTAATTGCCTACATTTTCTATTATTTCCCAAGTTCTGAAAATCGAAATAGATGTCCTAAAAGATGACCCTCAGTCCTTGCAGGGCAGTAATGATGAGACAATGAGATAATGTGGATGAAAGTATTTTACAAATTACACTGCACTGTGCAAATATAAGAAAGACCATTCAGTGTTGAACTGTCTCTAAACATTAGTATTTCTTTGTAAAATGTTGATTTCCTCTTCATGAAATTACCTAATGCAACTAGATGGCACATTTTAAGAATGCTTTAGAGAGTCAGAGGTCAGCCTAAATCATTGTCATTATTTCTTCCACCTCTGATATGTCTTAATATATTGTAATATGAGTGGAGAAATACTATTTCAAGAATTATACTCTTGAACATGAAACAAATGTAATTTCTCTATTTTTATTTCTTTCCGTTAGCACTCTGCCTTCTGCCAAACAATTTACTCTTAAAACTATAAGGTTATATGGTCTAATCCGGTGGCTCTCCATCAACTTTGGAAAGTATAAATCAGTGTTAGTTCAGTGCTTCTCCATACCTGATCCTTCCTTCTAACTGACCAAGGATCTCCCCCAGCCATCAAGTGGCCATTGCTGCCAGTAACAACAGTGAGAACTAGAGCTAGAGGGTTAGTTTCTGGGGCTGGGTGCACTGGAGCAAGTTATTGACTGACAGCTGATACTGTATACCATGTTAACTCACAACTAATGTTTTCACCTCACATGAAATACTTGGTACTGGTGGATATGAATGAATAATAGCAGGTTCTTCAAGAGCAGATATATTTCCTAAAGAGTTGTCTCCACTTGGGGGATCTTCTGAGAAATTGAGATGAAAGTTCATTATGGCCCAATATAGGATGTCCATCACAGGACTCTTCCCAAAACCTCTGTTTGTCTCATATCCAGACGTATATTCAAAATTTACTCCAACTGGTATGGTGCAGCTACTGGCAATCAGAACAGATGCTGGCCAGAAAAGTGGAATAGGGTCTTAGAGGCCCTGGTTATGTCAGTGTTAGCACACTATTTCATGCATTGTGGGAAGTCTTATCAGAGTGCTGCAAGAGTGGGGACTGGGAAGTGAAAGGCACTCAGAGGCTAGAGCAGCTGCTACTTTCCTGTCAATAACCAGGATTTCTGTTTCAACATGTAAAGTCATGCTGAGGCATACCGACCAGGTATTTGTCCTGCCAATACTCCAGTGGTACTTGGAAAGACTATAGATCCTCAGTCTCAGCAAACATTCACAACTGAAAAACCCATGGGAACTTTTGGTGTTCCCTTACATAGAACTGTAGATAACAGGGGACATTGTCTGAATGGTGTTCTAAGAGATGCAAACATAGGGCAATGACAGCATAACCTTTCTGTCAAATTCCAACTTCTCCATTTACTAGCTTTGTGGCCTTGAGGGAGTACACAAACTCTCTTTCTCTCCATTCCATTATTAGTAAGGTCAGAATAGTAATTCTACACATATGTCTTGATGATTGAATTAGTTGATATAGATATAAAGGAGTTAGAACAGCACATAGTATAGAACATGCTAGGTAAGTGAAAGCTGCTATTGTTACTTAGATGTTACCCTCGCCCAAAAGTGTAGGCAGTATATGTAAAGCTATTGACCTCATACTTTCTCTGGTAACCAATAATGCAGACCCTCTCATACACATGTATACCTCCAAACTTTTATGGATCTCTCCTGTATTCCTTTTTCTTAGATGAGGAATGTTTTCTCTTTTTATTTTTATTAACTTTTATTTTAACTTCAGGAGTACATGTGCAGGTTTGTTGAACAAGTAAACTCACATCATGGAGTTTGTTGTACAGATTATTTTGTCATCCAGATATTAAGCTTAATACCCATTAGTTATTTTTGCTGATCTTCTCCCTCCCACCATGCTTCACCCTCTGATGTTTGTTGTTGCCTTCTATGTGTCCATGTGTTCTCATTTATTTAGCTCTCACATAAGTGAGAACAGGCAGTATTTGGTTTTTTGTCCCTGGGTTAGTTTACTAAGGAAAATGACCTCCAGCTCCGTCCACGTTCCTGCAGAGGACTTGATCTGGTTCTTTCTTATGGCTACATAGTATGCCATGGTGTATATGCACCATATTTTCTTTATCCAGTCTACCATTGATAGGCATTTAGGTTGAGTCCATGTCTTTGCTATTGTGAATAGTACTGCAATAAACGTATGTATGCATGTGTTTTTATGATAGAGTGATTTATATTCCTTTGGGTATATACCCAGGAATGAGATTGTGGAGTCAAATGGTAGTTCTGATTTTAGGCTTCTGAGGAATCACCACATTATTTTTTTACAATGGGTGAACAAATTTACACTCCCACCAACAGTGTATAAGGGTTCCATTTTCCTCCACAACCTCGCCAGCACCTATTTTATGACTTTTTAATAACCATTGTGATTGATGTCAGATGGTATCTCACTGTGATTTTGATTTGCATTTTCCTAATGTTCAGTGATGTTGAGTTTTTTTTCATATGATTGCTGGCCACATGTATGTGTTTCTTTGAAAAGTGTTCATGTCCTTTGCCCACTTTGTAATAAGATTGTTTTCTTGTAAAATTATTTAAGTTCCTTAGAGATGCTGGATGTTAGATTTTTGTCAGATGCATAGTTTACAAATATTTTCTCTCATTTTATAGATTGTCTGTTTACTCTGTTGATAGTTTACTTTGCTGTATAGAAGCACTTCAGTTTAACTAGATCCCATTTGTCAATTTTTGCTTTGTCACAATTGCTTTTGGCATCTTTTTCATGAAATCTTTGCCCATGTCTAGAATGGTATTGCCTAGGTTGTATTTTAGGGCCTTCATATTATTGGGTTTTACATTTAACTCTTTAATCCTTCTTGAGTTGACTTTTTTATATGGTATAAGGAAGTGGCCCAGCTTCAATCTTCTGCATATGGCTAGCTAACTATCCCAGCACCAATTATTGAATAGGAAGTCCTCTCCACATTGCTTGTTTTAGTGAGTTTGTCAAAGATCAGATGGCTGTGGGTGTGCAGCCTTATTTGTGGACTCTCTGTTCTTTTCCATTGGTTTATATGTCTGCTTTTGTGCCAGTACCATGCTGTTTTGGTTACTGTAGCCTTGTAGCATAGTTTCAAGTTAGGTAGGATGATGCCTCCAACTTTGTTCTTTTTACTTAAAATTGTCTTGGCTATTTGGGCTCTTTTTTGGTTTCATATAAATTTTGAAATAGCTTTTCCCAGTTCTTTGATGAATGTCATTGGTAGTTTGATAGAAATAGCATTGAATCTATAAATTGCTTTGGGCAATATGGCCATTCTAATGATACTGATTCTTCTTATTTGTAAGTGTGGAATGTTTTTACATTTGTTTATGTTATCTCTGATTCTTTGAGCAATGTTTTGTAATTCTCCTTGTAAAGATCATTCACTTCCCTGGTTAGCTGTATTCCTAGGTATTTTATTCTTATCGTAACAATTATGAATGAGAGAGTGTTCCTGATTTGGCTCTCGGCTTGACTGTTGTTGGTGAATAGGGATGCTAGTGATTTTTGCACATTGATTTTATACCCTGGAACTTTACTGAAGTTGTTTATCAGCTGAAGGAGTTTTTGGGCCAAGATTATAGGGTTTTCTAGATATAGAATCACATCATCTGCAAAAAGGGATAGTTTGACATCCTCTCTTGCTATTTGGATGCCCTTTATTTCTTTCTCTTGCCTGATTGCTCTGACCAGGACTTCCAATAATATGTTGAATAGGAGTGGTGACAGAGGACTTCCTTGTCTTCTGTTGATTTTCAAAGGGAATGCCTCCAGCTTTTGCACATTCCATACGATGTTGGCTGTGGGTTTGTGTGAGTTTGTCATAGATGGCTCTTATTCTGAGGTATGTTTCTTTAATATTTAGTTTATTGAAAGTTTTTAACATGAAGGGGTGTTGAATTTTATTGAAAGTCTTTTCTGCCTCTATTAAGATAATCATGTGGTTTTTGTCTTTAGTTCTGTTTATGTGATGAATCATATGTATTAATCTGTGGATGTTAAACCAGTTTTGCATTCCAGGGATAAAGCCTACTTGATTGTGATGGATTAGCTTTTTGATGTGCTGCTGGATTCAGTTTGCCAGTATTTTATTGAGGATTTTTACACTTGATGTTCATTAAGGATATTGGCCTGAAGTTTCCTTTTTTTATTTTATCTCTGGCAGGTTTTGGTATAGGGATGATGCTGGCCTCATAGAATGAATTAGGGAGGAGTTCTTCCTTCTTAATTTTTTAAAATAGTTATAGTGGGAATGGTACCTGTTCTGGTACCATTTGGTAGAATTTGGCTCTGAATCTTTCTGGTCTTGGGCTTTTTCTGGTTTATAGGGTATTATTTACTGATTCAATTTCAGAACTCATTATTGAGCTGTACAGGGATTCTTCTTCATTCAGTCCTGGGAGAGTGTATGTTTCCAGGAATTTATCCATTTCTTCTAGGTGTTCTAGTTTGTGTGCACAGAGGTGTTCACATGGTTATTTGTCATTCTGTGCTGTCAGTGGTAATATCCCCTTTGTCATTTCCAATTGTGTTTTTTGGGTTTTGTTTCTTTTCTTCTTCATTCATTTAGCTAATGATCTACCTTTTTTATTAATTTTTTTCAATAAACCAACTGCTGGATTCATTGATCATTTGAATGGATTTTCATGTCTCAGTCTCCTTCCTTTCAGCTCTGATTCTTGTTATTTCTTGTTTTCTAATACCTTTGATATTAGTTTGCTCTTGGTTCTTGGTTCTCTAGCTCTTTTAGTTGTGATGTTAGATTGTAAAATTGAGATCTTTCCAATGTTTTGATGTGGATGCTTACTGTTATAAATTTTGGTCTTAACTTGGCCTTACCAGTGACCCAGAGATTCTGGTATGTTGTATCTTTGTTCTCATTAGTTTTTAAAAAAACTGCTTGTTTTCTACTTTAATTTCATTATTTATCCAAAACTCATTCTGGAGCAGGTTATTCAATTTACATGTAATTGTGTATTTTTGTGCAGTTTTATAGTCCTGATTTCTAATTTTATTGCACTGTAGTCCAAGAGAGTGGTTGTTATTTCAGTTCTTTTGCATTTGCTGAGAAGTGTTTTATGTCAGATTATATGGTCACTTTTTAAATACGTACCATGTAGCGATCAGAAGAATGTATATTCTGTTGATTTGGGGTGGAAGTTCTGTAGATGACTTTTAGGTCCATTTGATCCAGTGCTGAGTTGAAGTCCTGAATGTCTTTGTTAATTTTCTGCTTTGATGATCTGCCTAATACTCTCCGTGGGGTGTTGAATGCTCCCATTCTTATTGTATGGGAGTCTAAGTCTCCTTGAAAGTCTCTAAGAGTGTGCTTTATGATTCTGTCTGCTCCTGTGTTGGATGCATATATATTTACGATAGTTAGGTCTTCTTCTTGAAATAAACCCTTTACCATTATGTAATACCCTTCTTTGTCTTTTTATGGTCTTTGTAAATTTAAAGTCTATTTTGTCTGAAATTAGGATTGCAACCCCCCCTTTTTTCTGTTTTCCATTTACTTGGTACATTTTTCTCCATCTCCTTGAGCCCGTGGGTATCATTGCATGTGAGATGGGTCTCTTGAAGACAGCATACCAATGGGTCTTGGTTCTTTATCCATATTGCCACTCTGTCCCCTTTAATTGGGGCATTTAGCCCATTTACATTCAAGGTTAGTATTAATATCTGTGAATTTGATCCTGACATCATGATGTTAGCTGGTTATTTTGCAAACTTGTTTACATGGTTGCTTTATAGTGTCATTTTTCTGTTTACTTTAGTGTATTTTTGTAGTGACTAGTAATAGTCTTTCTTTTCCATATTTAGTGCTTTCTTTGGGAGCACTTGTAAGGTAGATCTGGTGATAATGAATCCCCTTAGCATTTGCTTGTCTAAAAAGGATCTTATTTATTTTTTGCTTATAAAGCTTACTTTGTTCCGATATAAAAATCTTGGAATTTATTTTTTTTAAGAGTGTCAAATATTATCCCCAATCTCTTATGGCTTGTAGGGTTTCTGCTGAGAAGTCTGCTGTTAGTCTGATGGATTCCCTTTGTAGGTGACCTGACCTTTCCCTCTAGCTACCTTTAATATTTTTTATTTCATTTTGACCTTGGAGAATCTGATGATTACATGTCTTGGGGAATATCTTCTTGTGAGATATCTTACTTAGGTTATCTGCATTTCCTGAATTTGAATGTTGGCCTCCCTAGCTACACTAGGGAAGTTCTCCCAGATGATATCCTAAAATATGTTTTCCAAGTTTCTTTCATTCTCCCCAACTCTTCCAACTCTTCCAGAAACATCAATGAGTTGTAGATTTCATCTTATTACACAATCCCATATTTCTTGGAGCTTTCGTTTGTTCCTTTTTATTCTTTTTGCTCTATTCCTGTCTGACTATCTTATTTCAGAAAGCCAGTCTTCAAGCTCTGAGACTCATTCTTCCACTTGATCTATTCTGCTACTAATACTAGGGATTGCAGTATGAATTTCTGTAGTATATTTTTTCAGCTCTGTCAGGTTGCTCATGTTCTTTTCTATACTGGCTATTTTGTCTGTCAGCTCCTTTATTTTTTTTTTATTATGATTCTTAACTTTCTTGGATTGGGTTTCAATGTACTCCTGCATCTAGATGATCATCATTTCTTTCCATGTCGTGAATTCTATTTTTGTCATTTCAGCCATCTCAGCCTGGTCCAGAACCCCTGCTGGAAAGGTAATGCATTCATTTGGAGGAAAGAAGGCACTCTGGCTTTTTGAGTTGTCAGCGTTCTTGTGCTGGTTCTTTCTCATCTTTGTGGGCTGATATTCCTTCCATGTTTCAAGTTGCTGTCCTTTGGATTCTTTTTCCTTTATCTTATTTAATTACCTTGATGGTTTGACTGTGGTATTTGGTAGGTTCAGTCAACTGCCTTCATTTCTGGAAGATTTTAGGGGCCCAAAACTCAACTCCTAACTCCTGGACTGTGTGCTCTAACTCTAGGGGAGGTGTATTGGTCCCCAGATTTGTTCTTTGACTCTTCAAGGTTAGAAAGCCACTGCACTGAGGGGGCCAAAGTGCTCTGGGACTGCTGGCCACTACACTCTGATGGGTGGTGTCAACCAAAGCACTTCATAATGCAGTGGCAGCATCCATCCTTGTTTTCACTGCCAGCAGCAGCAGCAGCAGCAGTGGTAGCACAGTAGGGTGCATGATCATGGACTGTGCCAGGGTGTCTGCCTCTGTGCAGACATTCACAGCAGCAGTGGAGTCAGCATGGCTACAGGGGTCAGCATTGGCAACTGTGCATACAGTCATGCTGGTGGTGTTGTTAACACGGGGCAAGGTGCTGATGGGCACAGGTCTGTGTGAGCCCTTTGTGATTGCTCAGGGTGGGGAAGGTCCACTGTTCTCCATGCCTAGTTTCATTCTTGTGGCAGTGTTTGCACAAGAACTGGGTGCTGGTGGGGGTGGGGCTGGTAGGTTCTGTGCCTGCTAAGGTTTAGAATGCATGCCAGTAGGGCAGCGAAGGGTGGGTGGAGTGCACTCAGCCAGCAGGAGAGGTAGGGCAGGGTGCATACATATCTGTGCACTGGCAGTCAGAGAAGGCAAAATTTGCCCATGCACTCACAGGCCAGAAAAGTGATGTTGGGGGTGGCCATGGGCTGGGGGGAAACTATAGGGCAGTCAGGGAGTGCGTGGACTTCTGCTGGAGCTCTCTGCCAGTCAGATACAGTCTATAATATAGGAGAAGCTATAATGTGGGCCCCCAGGGCAAATGAAGCTGCACAGCAAGCGGGTGCAGCCAGGCTGGGGCCCAAGGAGAGGCCAGCAGACTAAAAGGTGCTCAGGTGGGACTGGCCCTGTCTGATAGGCAAGACCACCCTGCCCAGTTCAGGTCCTACAGTTCCCTAACGGTGTCCTCTGGGACCAAGTTGAGCCCAGGGGGATGGGCATTGCTGGCCATGCTCTGTTACAAACACTCCTGCACTAAACACCTCCGAGCTCCACACATGCTGGTCTGCTAACTGAACACTTCTCTAAGCAGCTCTCCCCGACAACTCAAGTGTCCATAGTGGTCGAGGGGTATCCTCCTGCCTGCATTCCAGAGGCCTGTGGCGAGAGCTAGTTACTTCTTTTTTTTTAATTTTTTATTTTTTTATTATACTTCAAGTTCTAGGGTACATATGCACAACGTGCAGGTTTGTTACATATGTATACATGTGCCATGTTGGTGTGCTGCACCCCTAACTCATCATTTACATTACATGTATCACCTAATGCTATCCCTCCCCCTTACCAGTTCAACTCACCCATTCGCCTGGAATCATTTTGGGCCACAAGTGAGTCCTGGTGCTTAGTAGCCTCATGCAGGGTTCCCAGCTTCCTCCTGCTTCAGCCCAGCTGCTATGTCTTCCCTCTGTCCACTCTCAGTGCCTTTCCTCCGAAGATCTGTTAGGGGTACACCAGTCCTCTCAGTCCCTCAGTGGCAGCTGTTCTACCTTGTTGCATCTAGTCAGTCATCTTGCTCGAATCTCCCCTGTATTTCTTTTATTACATATCCATTATTGGCATTTAGTCAGATGATGACAGAAGGGACAAGATTCTATACTGCTTTCTTTATCTTGCTTTCTGTTAATTCTTGTTGTTATAAATTGATATTGATTATTTTTAGGAGTTTGAGCTAGTCTTTGTCTTTCTTTTGGAACAAGGGATTTTAAAAAGTTCTCTCTCATTGTGTTTATGTGACAATCTAGATGGTCTCCTTCCCACCCCAAGGCTAATTCAGCCTCACCAATTTAGGGGATCATTGCACTACATGGTGCTTTATCTCCATGAGAAGGGTCGTCTTCATGTAGCTTCTGATGGGCAAGTTTCTACAATGAAGCAACATTGTGAGAAAATGTGGCATCAATTAATACTTATATAAATAGGCATTGTGGCTGCATAGTTCTCTGCCCCATGCTAAAGCAATTTTCTTGGTAACTTTAAAAGTTCAATTGCTTGGGCTTATAATTATTTCTTGTCTTCTCCCACCACAAATATTCCAGAATCTTCATTCTCTCAGATTCTTAAATAATGAAAAAATACCTGGCAAAGACCTAGGATGAAGAAAGAGAGAAGAGATATGTATGCTGGACTTGGAGACAGTAAGAAAGGATTCATTGATCTACATCAGTAATAACATTCTGAAAGAGTGGGTAGTGAGAGATATATAAGTCCCTAACATGTCTTCAGGGAACTAACTTCTGGGAATCCCCACATAGGTATAAATGAGTTAAAGGCAGATCAATTACAGATAAATAATCTGCTTTTTTGCCTTCTGTGGTCTTAAATATTACTTGTTTAAATATGAATTCTTGCCTCCCATCATCTTGTGCATTCAGGTGGAAAACCATAAGAAAGAGTCAAAGGAATCGGATTTCTTTGGTAAGTCTGACTAAGGTATTGGGAGGGGGGCAGTTTCACCTTAAGAACACAAGACATGAATAGACTTTGTGATTTTTTTCAGCTGTTATATGTATTTCTTCTATTGCGTAAAAACTACAATACATATTCAGCCTATTGATAGACCAGTTGTTTGTCTTGATGGTCATAACAGACAATTGACCAGATTTCTCTGAACTGTTATCCAGCCCCAAACGGACCAATACCTACAACCTCTGCACTGGCTGTTCTGTGAAACTTAGTGTGCTACAATCTGTCAGGCATAGAGTCTTGGATCCTTTGAGTGTCTGTATACCGACATTTTATTCCTGAATTTGTTACAATGGCCATTCTTTTCCGAGAAGAGCAAAATAAATGTAGTATTTAAGTGATTTTAAAGGATAGGAATAAAAATGTTGGACTTTTAATATAGAACTAATTCTTATTGTAGTTTACTAGATATTTTTCCTAAATAAAAGAATGACTACTATTCTAATTCTAGCCCTCAGAGCCCTGATCTATGAAATGTGGGACTTGGACCTATTTATTACTAATCGCCTTCTAGCTTCCAGTTCTATAGTTCTATGCATTATGGTAAAGTATTAGTTTTATTTTCCAATTAGGAAATAAATTTTCATCTAGCTCAGTACACTGTAAGGATGTTGTAGTTACCTAATTTCCCTCTCCACACTATATGGTAGACGTATTTCTGGAAAACTATCAATTTTTCAAGATTCAATTTATTCTTAAGTTTTATTAGTATTATTTGCTCAGCATAATAAACCTTGATGCTTTATGTTCAAGCAAAGCTCTTTTGTAGCTATAACACTTTGATGTGGCCTTATGAGAGTATTATAACATTTTTGCTCCACAAGTCTGTATGAGGATGCAGGAACTCATTGTTTAGGGCTCGATACAGTTTTGGCTGGCAGTTCTCTTTATATAGCAGTGTATTAACATATTAATATTCAGTTCATAAATTTTAGCTCAGTTTCCACTTTATTTATACTATCAATGTCTACTACATATTATAATTATGTCCCTAAATCTTAGGATCATAATGCACTCCAATTGCTCCACTGTACATCAAACCTAGAAATGCCAGTTTTGGTTAAACAGGGTTATTGCAGTTTGGAAAACACCTTCCTTAGAGTATTTAGACTGCACAAAATGGATCACTGGGTAATGGTTAATTTCTAAAGGGTTTTGAATTTTTTCTGCTATGATTTACTTAGTTGACATAACACTCTATAATAATCATCTCTATAAACAAGAGAGAGAGAAGGACAGGAAGAGAGGAGAAGAACAAGAAGAAGAAGGAAAAGGAAGGAGAGAATAAGAATAACAAGAACAAGAATAAGAATACAGAAGTTTATTATTTTCTCAGGAGTTCCATTTAAAGAGCCAACTAAAAGAGAGCTTAACTAAAACTGGTGAGGGATTCTAGGACGCTTTGAAGGGGTTCTGCCTACCAGGATCTTACCATTCCAGATAGGACAAAACAAGGCTAGACTGTTGAAAGAGCTGACATTCAACCCACATGTGGTTACCATGCATGTTAATATATCTTTGCTTAACCAAGATTTCATTTATTACTCCACAAATGAATGCTGTAAAATGAAATAGCTGGTCTCTTTGCTTATCTTTAAGTTTGTCAGTTGTGTGTGGTGCATGCATAGCCATCAAACTACCAAGTGGATCAGTGCTAGAATAATGTTCTTACTTTATTTGTTTTTTATGGTATGTTTTTTCTTACCCAAAAGGCTGGGGTACTTAGAATATTAACAAAATGTTTTGGTTTATTTAACAAGCATTTCCTGAGCTCCTCCTATATACCTGACACTGCCAGGGAATGGAAAAATACGTAGAACATTATTCCTAATGTGAAAATCATGGTGTCAGTGGACATCAGTTATGTGTCTGGGATGTGGGATGCCCAGATACTTGCTTAAACGTTATTCTAGGTGTGTCTGTGAGAAAGCCTTTGGAAGAGAATAGTATTTGAATTGGTGAACTGAGTATACCAGATTGCCCTCCCAACATGGGTTAGCCTCATCCAGTGTGTTGGAGGCCTGAATAGAACAAAAGTCTGGGTAAAAAAAAATTCTCTCTCCCTTGCCTACCTTTTCATTAGAATATTGATCTTCTCTTACACTCAGACTGAAAATACACCACCAGGTGTCCTGGGGCTCCAGCTTGCAGATGGCAGATCATGGACTCACCCTCCATAATTGTGCTACCCAATTCCTTGTATTCAATTCCTTTATCTGTGTCTCTATCTATCCATCCATCCTACAGGTCTGTTTCTCAAAATAACCTTGACTATTACAATGGAGAAGCACAGAAGTACACAACACAACTCAACCCTATATCAACTGTAAATTACAAGTCACGTGATAGCAGTATGAGCAGAGTGCCTTGGGGGCCCTTAAATGGAAATAAATGCATTGTTTGTGGGGCTAGTAAGGGAAAGATTAATGGAGGAGGTGACGTTTGAGCTGGCTCTTTCATGATTTTTCCATGCAGAGAAGTTTACGCTCTAGGCACTGGAAACACCAGGCATAAATTATGGATCATTCACTTTATCCATTTCTTCAAGGAATGGTGAAAGGTTCAGAATGACTGGATTGTACACTGTATATAGAGAAATCAGAAAAGTGCTGGGACATTTGCAAAGTGAAAAGATATATCATATTCCATAGGAAACAAGACACGTTTGATTCTTGTCAAATCATACTTACGTTTTTTGGAAACCAAGCAAATTGTTTGGTTGCCTAGTTTACCTGTAATGAATACTATTCTTGTTATAAGTCCCAGAGAGTTCTATATTCTCCTGTAAAATAATCCTCAACTTTACTTTATACTACTGTTCCCACACTAGCTCAAACCACTATCACGTTTTTTATCCAGATAACTGTAAGCATCTTCTAACTCTGCCAATGTGTTAGTTTCAGTCTAGAGAAACCCTGCAGAAAAGAACTTAGCTGAGCTCTTCCAGACTTCTGACCTACAAAAACTGAGATAATAAGCTTGTGTAGTTTTAAGCCATTAAATTTGTGGTAATTCATTACAACATCAATAAAGTAGTAGTACACTACCATCAGGTTTTACATATGGCATTACACTGTTCAATTTGTGTTTTAAAAAGATGGAATTCTCAATGGGAACACATTCAGGAACACAGAAGCTTGGGCCAATGGTAGTGGGATTTTGAATTAGGGTGATGGCAGTAAAGATATATTAATAGAAAAGTGGTTGAATTTGAACATTAGGAAGTAAGATCTAGGCAAGTAATGGAGTAGAAATTCAAGGAGAGGAAAAGTGACATGTCCACAATTAGTCTTAGGTGTCAGGCTTAGGAAACAAGGGATTGCTCTTTTCAGTCAAAGAGAAGGGAACACTCTAGGGGAAACAAGCTGAGAAGGAACTCTCTTCCCCTAACTGTAATATATTTAAAGAAGTACTGTCCTCATGGAAAAAAAAATCAGTTTATCTTTGCAAGTATACTTCTCCTAAACTATTCACCCAACATTCTTTATTTTGAACTACAAAAATGTTTCAGTGCCTGTGTTATATTTCAACCTCAGGAAATAACAGATTTGGCCTTGGTTCTCTACAAAAATTAGCAAACTCTTTAAACTAATTTACTCACTCAATCCTGAAATACACATCTGCAGACTAATTACTAGAAGAGATTAAATGTACTTTTAAAATATGCAGAATGGCATATTTATTCAGAGAAATTCCCCCAAGCACCTTTGCCTTTGGGAAATGTAATGGGAATCAACTCTCTGGTGCTGTTCATCATCCATCGTCCAATTTTCTGAGTTGAACAGTTCAGTGCTCTATCAAAACATAAGACTATTTCACTTGGCTTGAATTCTAATACCATGTGTATGTAATACCTACGTTATATACAATGTTTTATTTGCCTCAGATACTTGGCTTGCTTGTGCCACTCTGTTTGCCCAGTGAAGAGTGCTATAGAGGTAGGAGAGGGCAGAGTTGAAGAGGATGCTCACTGGCATTAGCTTCATTTTAATCATGACTTCATTTTGTGGCTGTGTGATTTGGGGAAGTAATCTCTCTATATTTCAGTTTATTAATGTTTACAATGGTAATAAAAATAACTACTTCGAAAATTTTCTTGTTTAGTATTAAATGAGTTAATACATACCAACATTTAGCACAGGGCTTATCACCTAAAAAGCATTCAGAAATCTTCTTTTAGCTATCATAAAAATAATCTAATGAAACCCATTTGATGAACAAATGAAGAAATTAAAATGCAGTTAGGTGAAATGTCTTACACACACTCACCTGAACCCAGGTCTCCTGAACCTTAACCAAGGACAATGGAATACCATGCTGCTAATCATTGCTTTGCTTGTGCTTGAGAGTGGTATGAATCAGAATCACCTGGAGGACTTACTAATATGATCACAGATTACTGGGCTTGACCCTCTGAGTTTCTGATTCAGCAGGTCTCCAAGAAGTTCCCAGAGAAGGCAATGCAGCTGGTCCAGGGACCATATTGTGGAAATTGCTAAGCCTATGAAACAAAGATCAGTTAAAAGGCTATTTTGACTATGTCAATGTCAAGGATTAAATAAATGATTTTAGAATTGAAACAGATAAGAACTTGAACTATGAAAGGTGACAGACAGGGATGAATGTTGATATCTCAGACAGCTAGGCAATGCTGATGCTATTCATTTAGATTAAAAAAAAAAGAGAGAGAGAGAGAAATGGTTTGGGAGGTGGTTGTGAGCTTCCTTTGAGATGGGCCAAAAGTAAAGTGCCTGAGCCTGGAAAACAGGATGTGCTAAATAATCAGTTAAAAATATGGATCTGAAACTTTGGCAAAAGAACAGAGCTGAAATTAAAATCTATATTGTATTAGTCCGTTCTCACACTGCTATAAAGATACTACCTGAGACTGAGTAGTTTATAAAGATAGGAGGTTTAATCTGCTCACAGTTCTTTATGGCCGAGGAAGTCTTGGCAAACTTACAATCATGGCAGAAAGTGAAGGGGAAGCAAGACACGTCTTACACGGCGGCAGGTGAGAGGGAACTCACAGAGTTAAAAACCATCAGATCTCCTGAGAACTCCCTCACTTTCGTAAGAACAGCATGGTCCAATCACCTCCTGCAGGTCCCTCCCTCAACACATGAGGATTACAACTGGAAATGAGATTTGGGTGGGGACACAGAGCCAAACCATATCAGTTATATATATGATCACAGATGACGTGGAAATGAAGGAAACCGTATATAGATTTTTAAAGAAAGATAAGAACACGGGTGTTGAATAGGGGAAGAAGGAGTAGAAACAATGAAAAAGACACAGAAATATTTGTCAGAAAGGAGAATTAGGAGCAAGCAGTGGGGTGAATGAGAAGAGAGTTTCAAGAAGAGGGTGGTCCTCATTAGCAGAAGCTCACTTAGGATATTGGAAGTATATATTAACATATACATTTTATATATTTCCCATTTCTGCCTCTCCAAGCCAGCAATAAAATTAGTCTCTAAGGCACAGTCCCTAGAGAATACTCAATTTAAATAAAGCATCATAAAGAAGATATCCAAGTCTCAGAAATGTAGACCCAAAAGTTCCGTTTTTAATGTGACTTAGTGGAAGGCACAATTTGGGAGTCTAGTGGCCAGGCCTGTGATGTCATATCCTGGGCCAGACTAACTGAAAATATCACCATCTAATAATATACCAGGTAAAGAAGGACTGGAAGAGGTTTTGCAACTTTAATTCTGTGAATAAAATTCAATGATTTTTTTTGGTAGTATGCATTTTTATCCTGGATTAAGAAATAAACCTCTGGAAATTTAGGTGACCTCCCAAGTCTGTAAATTAAACAAGAAGATTCAGGCATGGTCCTTTACATGTTTTTTGTAATTTACTTTGGATGACTTTTGATATTTTTCTTATTGAGACAAAAATCTTTCTCATTGTTAACTACACATGCCCTAAGAGTACATACAATGAGTTTCGATGCATATAATCCGCTTTGTCATTTTGGTTGGTATAGCTCTATAATAAATTTTGAAGTCAAGTAATATGTCTGTTTTTTTTTTCCATGAAGATGTTTCATCTATTTTAGATTGTTTGTAATTCCATATAAATTTTGGAATCAGCTTGATCATTTCTACAAAAATAAACCCTGCTGGGATTTTGATTGGTATTTCATTTAATTTAAAGATCAATTTTAAGATAATTGACATCTTTATACTATTAGAACATCCAATGCATAAACATGGAGTACCTTATTATTACGTTAGGTTTCATTTAATTTTTCTCATAACTGTTCTATACTTTTCAGTGTAGTATTCTCAGACACACTTTGTTAAATTTGTACTTGATGTTGTAGAACATCATTGTAGTTTCAAATTTCTTGATTCATATTATTTATTCCTAATATATACTAATAAAATTGATTTTTGCGTACAATTAATTTTTGCATATTGACACTCTGCCCTGCAATATTACTAAATGCTATTATTAATTTTAGTAGTTTTTTTTTTCTTTTAGATTTCCTGGGATTTCTACATGTACAGTCATGTCACCTACAAATAAAAACAATATTATGTCTTCCTCTCAGACTTTAATACCTTTAGTTTTCTTTCCTGGCTTATTGAACTAGATACAACTTCTGGTACAATGTTGCCTAAGTACCTGTTTTCTTATTATTGACCTTACAAGGAAAGCCTACCATATGTTATCATTATGTTGGCTGTAGGTTTTACATAATACTGTTTCAGATTGAAGGAATTGTACTTCAGTTCCTAGCCTCTTGAGAGATTTTATTTTGAAGGAGTCGTGATTTTGTCAGATTTTTTATGCATATAGTTCAATTGTCATGTGATTTTTTAAAACCTATTAATATGGTTAACTACATTGAATGATTTTGCAGTGTTAATTGCATTTTTGGGATAAAAACTATTCAATTATATACTTTTGGATTATATACTTTGCATGTTTATATATTGTATAATCGATATTCTATTATTTTAAGCTTTTTTTTTTTTTTTTGAGACAGGGTCTCATTCTGTTGCCCAAGCTGGAGTGGAGTGGCATGATCTTGGCTCACTGCAGCCTCAACCTCTTGGTTCAGGTGATTCCCCTACCTCAGCCTCCTGAGTAGCTGGGACTATAGGTGCATGTCACCATGCCCAGCTAGTTTTTTCTATTTTTAGTGGAGCCAGGATTTCGCCGTGTTGCCCAGACTAGTCTTGAACTCCTGGACTCAAACAATCCATCTGCCTCAGCCTCCCCAAATGCTGGGATTACAGGAGCGAGCCACCTCACCCGGCCAGCTTTTGTTTTCTTTTAGGTGTAGTCATAAGGGTTATATGTCTGTAATTCTCATTTCCAGTAATGTCTTTGTCTGGTTTTTGTATCATGGATCTACTGTATTCATAAAATGAGTTGGCCAGTGTGCTTCCTCCTCTATTTTCTGAAACAGTGTGTTTCAGGGTGGGCATTATTTCTTCATTACTGTTTAACACAATTCGCCAGTGAAACCACTTGGCCCTGAAAAATTTTTTTTTTCTGCATGTGTTGGAAGTTATTTTAATTGAAAATTCAATTTCTTCAATAGATTATAGGGCTATTTCTATTTCCTACTTCTAGTCATGTCAGTTTTGATAAGTTGTTTTATAAAATTATCTCCATTTCATATAACATTTGAACTTATTATCAAGGACTGTTTATAATATTCAATTATTTTCCCTTTTATTCCTGAGAAACAGTGATATCTTTTATTTCCAATATTGGTAATTTATCATCTCTTTTTTCTTTTGTCTATTAGCTTTAAATTATTTTCAAGAACAAACTTCAGTCCATTATCTCTACTGTTTCTATGTTTTCTACTTTCTTGATTTTTGCTCTTGTTTTCTATTGTTATTTACTTTCATTTATTTATTGTGATTTTACTTTGCTCTTCTTTTTATACCTTCTTTAGATGGCAGCATAAATCACTGAATTTATATCTTTCTGCTTTTTGAACAGTAATGTTATCATTTAAAACAGCAGTGTACCCTCTGAGTATCACCCTAGTTGCAGCCTTCAACTTTTGATACACTGCATTTTAATCATCAGTTGGTTCATAATATTTTAACTCCCTTTGTGTATTTTAACATCATATTTTTAACTCCTTCTTCTTTGACTCATGGCTTACTTACAAGTATGCTGCTAATGTCCAGATATTTGAAGTTTTATATAAAATCTTATTGGTTATATGTTTTCAATTTAAGGCCATTTTGATCATGGAATATATTCTTGTGTGATTTTTAATCCTTGAAATTTATTGGGAATTGTTTTATGGCACAGGCTAAAATCTAGGACACCAAAACAGTCTGTGTTTTTGTTGGGTACTGTACTTACTAAGTTAGAACGAGTCAAGTGACTTAGAGTGTTGGTTAAGACACCTACATACTTACTGATTTCTTATATACTTGTTCTATCAGTTACAGAGAGTAATGTTAAATATTCAATATTATTGTGCATATATTTCCCTATAGTTCTGTTCTTTTTGTTTCATATATTTGGGGGTTTCAAATAGTTCCATAAACATATGAGATTTTCTATCTTCTTGATTAAATGATGCTTTTATTATTATGTTGCATTTTATCTCTGGTAATACTCTTCATTTGAAGTCTGCATTTTTTGATATTAGTACAGCCTGATAATCTTCATCTTATTTAGTTTTTATATAGTATAGTCATACATCACATAGTGACATTTCAATCAATAACAGACTGCATAAATGAAAATGGTCACATTAGATTATAATATGGCATTTTTACCATATCTTTTCTGTTTAAGTACACAAATACCATTGTGTCACAATTGCCTGCAATATTCAGTATAGGAACATGATGTATAGTTTTGTAGCCTAGGTACATAGTAGGCTATACCATCTAGGTTTGTATAAATTCACTCTATGATGTTTGCACAATAACAAAATCACCTAAGATCACCTAAAAATGCATTTCTTAGAACATATCCTCATCATTAAGCAACACATCACTGTACTTACTTTCAACTTGCCTGTATCATTGTATTCTATTTAAGGTGTGTTTCTTATAAATAATCTGTATTTGGTTATGGTAGACTTTAGAAAATAGCCCTCTAAATATGTCCACAAAGACTCCCAGAACCTGTAGGTACGTTACCTTGCATGGCAAAAAGAATTTGAATCTGCAATTAAGGATCTCCAGAGTGGGAGAGTAGCCAATCTGGTATTTCATTTCTACTTGCCCTTGGTTTATCTATTTCTCACTTTCTTGCTTGTTTGGGTGTATCAAGTATTTTATTTATTCTCTTTTATGTCCTTTGTTGCTTTTATGGTTATACATAATATATAGTTTTAATTTTCATGATATCACTTCAAAAATATTGTACTACTTCATAAACAATGTAAGAAATTTACAACGTACTTCCAATTATTCCCCTCCTGCCCTTTCTGCATTTTTCACGCATTTCATTTCTACCTAAACTATAAATCAAACAAGATATTATTTTACTTTTACTTCTAACCATCAACAATATCTTAAAGACCTTCAGTAAAACATGTGTAAAATACCTTTATATTCATTGAATTTTTTTTATTCTTCAGTTGCCTTCATTTCTTTGTGAATAAAGAGGTTTTTATCTGGACTCAGATAAAAGGCTCTCAAGGACATCTTTATTATTTCTTGTAATGCAGGTCTTCCAAAGACATATGTGTTTTCAGATCCTGTGTTTTCCAATCTAAAAATAGCGTTGTCTTCATTCTTGATCAACATTTCACTGGATATTAAATTATATGTTGAGAATTTTTTATCTTACCGCTTAAATCTGATGTTCTATTATTTTCTAGTCTCCATGTTTCTAATGAAGCATCTGTTCTCATTCTTATTATTGTTCCCCTGTATAAAATATACTTTATCTGTGATCTCTATCAAGATTTTTCTCTTTATCTGTGATACCTGTCCTAAGTATAGTTTTCTTTTCTTTGCCTCTATTCTGCTTGAAATCTACTGAGCTTCTTGGACCTCTAAACTGATGTTTTATATTAATTGTGCATTGCCACTATCTCTTCAAATATTTTACTATTCTTTTCTCTTTTTCTCTTCCTGGGAATTTAATAATAGCATAATAAAATTGGATATTTCTCACAGATCTGGGAAACTTTATTGCTTCTACTTTTTTTCCATGTTTCAGTTTTGATAACTTCTATTGACTTCTATTCACTTTCACTAATTCTTTTATAGTGAATGCTACTACAATAACTTCATGTTGCCTTGTCAACTATTTTGAATATGAGTTTCATTTTTACCAGAAGTAGGGCTCAGTCACCCTTGACACAGTTTCCAATTCTACACCACAGCTAGGTTGCTCAATCTGGTCACCAGAGGTAAGAATTTAAAAGGCATCTCCAGGACCTAGCAGACTGCAATCCCACTTTTCCAAGGATTCCTTTAAATGGACCATTCAGGCATTTGCCCATAAACTTAAAGTGACCCACACCATATTGCCATATATATATCGCTAATTGCCCTGCGCTTTTCTCTCTCTCTGCCTGACTCTTCATTCCTGCCTCATGTGACCTTGAAACAAAGGACTGATTTTCTGGCTCATGCCCTTCTTTCCCAGGAGCTGTAAGTAAAAATCGTTGAACTTGTTTCCTATTATGGCGATGTATTAAATTTGTGCCTTTCAGGGACATGGATGAAGCTGGAAACGATCATCCTCAGCAAACTAACACAGGAACAGAAAGGTAAGCAGCACATGTTCTCACTCATAAGTGGGAGCTGAACAATGAGAACACATGGACTCAGGGAGGGGTACATCACACACTGGGGCCTGTCAGTGGGTGGGAGGAAAGGGGAGGGAGAGCATTAGGACAAATACCTAATGCATGCAGAGCTTAAAACCTAGATGATGGGTTGATAGATGCAGCAAACCACCATGGCACATGTATACCTATGTAACAAACCTGCATGTTCAGCACATGTATCCCAGAACTTAAAAAAAAAAAAAAACAACTTGTGGCTTCTGTCTGAAGAACTAGGGGCTGTCTCAGGCTGGGTTTTTTGTGGGATGTCAGGGAGACTATGAAATCAGGTTCCCAGTGCCAGAAAAATGATCAGGCAGCCGTAACTGGATGTGGGTCAGACAAGAGCCACAGGGGCCTCTGCCTTCCTCGGCTCTATCTAGTCGCTCAATTAACTTGTAATGAAAATTCCTTACCATATTTCACTTCTACTTCTTCCATTTGGCCCTTGTATCTCTTTGCTAAGATTCTTCCATATTCTGTTTATTTTCCATAAAGTCTTTTGACATTTGATCATGGTTAGTTACAAGCCACTCTGATAATTCCAAAATGTGTAGCATTCTGCGCTTGGTTATCTTGCCTTTACATGTGTTCTATATTTTTTAATTGAATACTACTGAGCATTGTTTGCAGAGAATAAAATAAATGATATTTACATTCAAAAAAGAGCTTGCCTCTTTAGTTAGATTATGAGTGTGGAATGTAAAGAACATACATAAATTCTGGAGTTAGACCAAGTTTAGTCTTTGATTTTGATTTAGCCTTCAAATTATTCAAATTATTCCATTATATATTAGATTCTGTGGATTTGAATCAATATTGAATTGTAGGAGTTCATTACTCTTCATCAAGGTCCATCATCAGATAATCAGATATACGTATTGTGCTATTTTGTCCCAGTGTGGTTTAATGGTATCATTTGATGAAAAGTCATTTTTGATGATGTTTAAAATGTGTATATATATACACATTTTAACAAATTATACATATTTGTTTTCCTATAGTATTAGTACCTTTTCTGTCCTATAAGACTATTGCCTACTTTTTCTTTTTATTACTATACTTTAAGTTCTGGGGTACATGTGCAGAATGTGCATGTTTGTTACATAGGTATACACGTGACATGGTGGTTTGCTGCACCTATCAACCCATCATCTATATTAGGTATTTCTCCTAATGCTATCCCTCCGCTAGTCCCCCACCCACCAAGAGGCCCCAATGTGTGATGGTCCCCTCCCTGTGACCATGTGTTCTCATTGTTCAACTCCCATTTTTGAGTGAGAACACGTGGTGTTTGCTTTTCTGTTCTTGCATTAGTTTGCTGAAAATGATGGTTTCCAGCTTCATCCATGTCCCTGCAAAGGACATGAACTCATCCTTTTTTATGGCTGCATAGTATTCCATGGTGTGTCTGTGCCACATTTTCTTTATCCAGTCTATCATTGATGGGCATTTGGGTTGTTTCCAAGTCTTTGCTATTTTGAATAGTACCGCAATAAACACATGCGTGTGTCTTTATAGTAGAATGATTTACAATCCTTTGGGTATATACCCAGTAATGGGATTGCTGGGTCAAATGGTATTTCTAGTTCTAGATCCTTGAGGAATCGCCACACTGTCTTCCACAATGGTTGAACTAATTTACACTCCCAACAGTGTAAAAGTGTTCCTATTTCTCCAAATCCTCTCAAGCATCTGTTGTTTCCTGACTTTTTAATAATCGCCATTCTAACTGGCATGAGATGGTATCTCATTGTAGTTTTGATTTCCATTTCTCTAATTACCAGTATTGATGAGCTTTTTTTCATATGTTCATTGGCTGCATAAATGTCTCATTTTGAGAAGTGTCTGTTTATATCCTTTGCCCACTTTTCTATGGGGTTTTTTGTTTTTATTCTTGTAAATTTGTTTAAGTTATTTATAGATTCTTGATATTAGCCTTGTGTCAGATGGATAGATTGCAAAAATTTGCTCCCATTCTATAGGTTGCCTGTTAACTCTGATGGTAGTTTCTTTTGCTGTGCAGAAGCTCTTTAGTTTAATTAGATCCCACTTGTCTATTTTGGCTTTTGCTGCCATTGCTTTTGGTGTTTTAGTCATGAAGTCTTTGCTCCTGCCAGTGTCCTGAATGGTATTGCCTAGGTTTTCTTCTAGGGTTTTTATGGTTTTAGGTCTTATGTTTAAGTCTTTAATCCATCTTGAGTTAATTTTTGTATACAATGTAAGGAAGGGATCCAGTTTCAGCTTTCTGCATATGGCTAGCCTGTTTTCCCAACACCATTTATTAAATAGGGAATCCTTTCCCCACTGCTTGTTCTTGTCAGGTTTGTCAAAGATCAGATGGTTGTAGATGTGTGGTGTTATTTCTGAGGCCTCTGTTATGTTCCATTGGTCTATATATCTGTTTTGGTACCAGTACAATGCTGTTTTGGTTACTCTAACCTTGTAGTACAGTTTGAAGTCAGGTAGCATGATGACTCCAGTTTTGATCTTTTTGCTTAGGATTGTCTTGGCTATGCAGGCTCTTTTTTGGTTCCATATGAAATTTAAATTAATTTTTTTCAATTATTTGAAGAAAGTCAATGGTAGCTTGATTGGGATAGCATTAAATCTATAAATTACTTTGGGCAGTATGGCCATTTTGACAATATTGATTTTTCCTATCCATGAGCATGGAATGTTTTTCCATTTGTTTGTTGCATCTCTTATTTCCTTGAGTAGTGGTTTGTAGTTCTCCTTGAAGAGGTCCTTCCCATCCCTTGTAAGTTGGATTCCTAGGTATTTTATTCTCTTCTAGCAATTGTGAATGGGAGTTCACTCATGATTTGGCTCTCTGTTTGTCTGTTATTGGTGTATAGGAATGCTTGTGATTTTTGCACATTGATTTTGTATCCTGAGACTTTGCTGAAGTTGCTTATCAGCTTAAGCAGATTTTGGGCTAAGATGATGGGGTTTTCCAAATAAACAATCATGTCATCTGCAAACAGAGACAATTTGACTTCCTCTTTTCCTAATTGAATACCCTTTATTTCTTTCTCTTGCCTGATTGCCCTGGCTAGAACTTTCAATACTATGTTGAATAGGAGTGGTGACAGAGGACATCCTTGTCTTGTATTGGTTTTCAAAGGGAATGCTTCCAGTTTTTGCCCATTCAGTATGATATTGGCTGTGGGTTTGTCATAAATAGTTCTTATTATTTTGAGCTATGTTCCTTCAATACTTAGTTTATCGAGAATTTTTAGCATGAAGGGCTGTTGAATTTTCTCAAAGGCCTTTTCTGCATCTATTGAGATAATATTGTGGTTTTTATCATTAGTTCTGTTTATGTGATGGATTACGTTTATTGCTTTGCATATGTTGAACCAGCCTTACATCCCAGGGATGACGCCAACTGGATCACGGTGGATAAGCTTTTTGATGTGCTGTTGGATTCGGTTTGCCAGTATCTTATTCAGGATTTTCACATCGATGTTCATCAGGGATATTGGCATGAAATTTTCTTTTTTTTGTTGTGTCTCTGCCAGGCTTTGGTATCAGGATGATGCTGGCCTCATAAAATGACTTAGGGAGGATTCCCTCCTTTTCTATTGTTTGGAATAGGTTCAGAACGAATGGTACCAGCTCCTCTTTGTACCTCTGGTAGAATTCAGCTGTGAATCCATCTGGTCCTGGACTTTTTTTGGTTGGCAGGCTATTAATTGCTGCCTCAATTTCAGAACCTGTTATTGGTCTATTCAACTTCTTCCTGCTTTAGTCTTAGGAGGGTGTATGTGTCCAGTAATTTATCCATTTCTTCTAGATTTTCTAGTTTATTTGTGTAGAGGTGTTTATATTATTCTCTGATGGTATTTCTGTGGGATTGGTGGTGATATCCCCTTTATCATTTTTTATTGCATCCATTTGATTCTTCTCTCTTTTCTTCTTTATTAGTCTTATTAGTGGTCTATCTATTTTGTTGATCTTTTCGAAAAACCAGCTCCTGGATTCATTGATTTTTTGAAGGGGTTTTCATGTCTCTGTCTTCTTCAGTTCTGCTCTGATCTTAGTTATTTCTTGCCTTCTGCTAGCTTTTGAATGTGTTTGCTCTTGCTTCTCTAGGTCTTTCAATTGTGATGTTAGGGTGTCTATTTTAGCTCTTTCCTGCTTTCTCTTGCGGGCATTTAGTCCTGTAAATTTCCCCCTACACAGTGCTTTAAATGAGTCCCAGAGATTCTGGTATGTTGTGTCTTTGTTCTCATTGGTTTCAAAGAACATCTTTATTTCTGCCTTCATTTCATTATTTACCCAGTAGTCATTCAAGAGCCGGTTGTTCAGTTTCAACGTAGTTGTGTGGTTTTGAGTGAGCTTCTTAATCCTGAGTTCTAATTTGATTGCACTGTGGTCTGAGAGACAGTTTGTAGTGGTTTCTGTTCTTTTACATTTGCTGAGGAAAGTTTTACTTCCAATTATGTGGTCAATTTTAGAATAAGTGCAATATGGTGCTGAGAAAAATGTATATTCTGTTGATTTGGGGTGGAGAGTTCTGTAGATGTCTATTAGGTCCGCTTAGTCCAGAGCTGAGTTCAAGTCCTGCATATCCTTGTTAATTTTCTGTCTCATTGATTTGTCTAATATTGACAGTGGGGTTTTAAAGTCTCCCACTATTATTGTGTGGGAATCGAAGTCTCTTTGTAGGTCTCTAAGTACTTGCTTTATGAATCTGAGTGCTCCTGTATTGGGTGCTTATATATTTAGTACAGTTAGCTCTTCTTGTTGAATTAATCCCTTTACCATTATGTAATGGCCTTCTTTGCCTCTTTTGATTTTGTTGGTTTAAAGTCTGTTTTATCAGAGACTAGGATTGCAACCCCTGCTTTTTTTTTTTTTTTTTTTTTTGCTTTCCATTTGCTTGGTAAATATTCCTCCATCCCTTTATTTTGAGCCTATGCATGTCTTTGCACATGAGAATTGTCTCCTGAATACAGCACACCGATGGGTCTTGACTCTTTATCCAAATGCCAGTCTGTATCTGTTACTTGGGACATTTAGCCTGTTTACATTTAAGGTTAATATTGTTATGTGTGAATTTGATCCTGCCATTATGATACCACCTGGGTATTTTGCCCATTTGTTTATGCAGTTTCTTCATAGCTTCAGTGGTCTTTACAAATTGGTATGTTTTTGCAGTGGCTGCTACCAGTTGTTCTTTTCCATGTTTAGTGCTTCCTTCAGGAGCTCTTGTAAGGCAGGCCTGGTGGTGACAAAATTTCTCAGCATTTGCTTGTCTGGAAAAGATTTTATTTCTCCTTCAGTTATGAATCTTAGTTTGGCTGGATGTGAAATTCTGGGTTGAAAATCCTTTTCTTTAAGAATGTTGAATATCGGCCCCCACTCTCTTCTGGCTTGTAGGGTTTCTGCTGAGAGATCCGCTGTTAGTCTGATGGGTTTCCCTTTATGGGTAACCCGACCTTTCTCTCTGGCTACCCTTAACATTTTTTCCTTCATTTAAGCCTTGGTGAATCTGACAATTATGTGTCCTGTGTTTGCTTTTCTTGAGGAGTATCTTTGTGGTGTTCTCTGTATTTCCTGAATTTGAATGTTGGCCTGTCTTGCTAGGTTGGGGAAGTTTTCCTGGGTAATATCCTGAAGCCTGTTTTCCAACTTGGATCCATTCTCCCTGTCACATTCAGGTACACCAATCAAATGTAGATTTGGTCTTTTCACATAGTTCCATACTTCTTGGAGGCTTTGTTCATTTCTTTTCACTCTTTTTCCTCTAATCTCGTTTCCTCGCTTTATTTCATTGAGTTGATCTTCAATCTCTGATATCCTTTCTTCTGCTTAATTGATTCAGCTATTGATACTTGTGTATGCTTCACAAAGTTCTCGTGCTGTGTGTTTCAGCTCCATCAGGACATTTATGTTCTTCTCTAAACTAGTTATTCTAGTTAGCAATTCATCTAACCTTTTTCAAGGTTCTTAGCTTCCTTGCATTGGGTTAGTACATGCTCCTTTGGCTCAAAGGAGTTTGTTATTACCCCCCTTCTGAAGCCTACTTCTGTCAATTTGTCAAACTCATTTTCCATCCAGTTTTGTCCCCTTGCTGGCGAGGAGTTGTGATCCTTAGGAGGAGAAGAGGCATCCTGGTTTTTGGAATTTTCAGCCTTTTTGCAATGGTTTCTCCCCATCTTCGTGGATTTATCTACTTTTGGTCTTTGAAGTTGGTGATGGGTTCTCTGAGTGGACGTCCTTTTTGTTGATGTTGATACTATTCCTTTTGGTTTGTTAGTTGTCATTCTAACAGTCAGGCCCCTCTGCTGCAGGTCTGCTGGAGTTTGCTGGATGTCCACTCCAGACCCTGTTTGCCTGGGTCTCACTGGCAGAGGCTGCAGACCAGCAAAGATTGCTGCCTGTTCCTTCTTCTGGAAGCTTCGTCCCAGAGGGGCACCCACCAGATGCCAGCCAGAGCTCTCCTATATGAGGTGTCTGTCAGCCCCTACTGGGAGGTGTCTCCTAGTTAGGATACAGGGGGTCAGGGACCCACTTGAGGAGGCAGTGTGTCCCTTATCAGAGCTCAAACGCTATGCTGGTAGACCCGCTGCTCTCTTCAGAGCTGCCAGGTAGGGATGTTTAAGTCTGCTGAAGCTGCGCCCACAACCACCCCTTCCCCCAGGTGCTCTGTTCCAGGGAGGTGAGGGTTGTATCTATAAGTCCCTGATTGGGGCTGCTGCCTTTTTTTCAGAGATGCCCTCCTCAGAGAGGAGACATTCTGGCCACAGTGGCCTTGGTGAGCTGGGGTAGGCTCTGCCCAGTTTGAACTTCCGGGTGGCTTTGTTTACATTGTGAGGGTAAAACCGCATACTTAAGCCTCAGCAATGGCAGATGCCCCTCCTCCTACCAAGCTCAAGTGTCCCAGGTCAAGCTCAGACTGCTGCTGTGCTGGCAGCGAGAATTTCAAGCCAGTGGATCTTAGCTTGCTGGGCTCCATGGGGGTGGTACCCACCAAGCCAGAGTACTTGGTTCCTTGGCTTCACCTCCCTTTGCAGGGCAGTGAATGATTCTGTCTCATTGGCATTCCATGCGTCACTGGGATATGAAAAACACCCCTGTGGCTAGCTCGGTGTGTGCCCAAACAGCCGCCCAGTCTTGTGCCAGAAACCCAGGGCCCTGGTAGTATAGGCACCAGAAGCGATCTCCTGGTCTGCAGGTAGCAAAGACTGTGGGGAAAGTGCAGTGTCTGGGCCGGAGTGCACGGTACAGTCCCCAATGGCTTCCCTTGGCTGGGAGAGGGAGTTCCCTGACCCCTTGCACTTCCCAGGTGAAGCGACTCCCCACCCTGCTTTGGCTCGCCCTCCTTGGGCTGCACCCACTGTCCAACCAGTCCCAATTAGATGAACCAGGTACCTCAGTTGGAAATGGAGAAATCACCCGCCTTATGTGTTGATCTCACTGGGAGCTGTAGACCAGAGCTGTTCCTATTCAGCCATCTTGCCAGCAACCCCCAATTTTGCCTACTTTAATGTTACAAATATATTGGCCTAAGCTTTCTTGTAGAACTATGTTGTCCAAAATGATAGTCACTAGCCACATATCACTGTTTAAATTTTAGCATTAATTAATTACATTTAAATTATATTAAAATTCACTTTCTCAGTAATACTAGCCACATTTCAAGAGCTCAGTACCCACATGGTGGCTAGTAGCTACCATTTTGGACAGTGCAGATATAGAACATTTCAATTATCACAGAAAGTTCTATTGCATAGTATTGTTCTATAGAGCAGTGTTCAGAGTGGGTGCTTTTATGCATAAGTCGATGGTCTATCTTGAACTTACTTTTGTATAATAAAGTTACTGAGTCAAGGTTTAATTTTTATCATAGTCAGCTGTTGTAGCACTATTTGTTGAAAAGACTATTCTCTATTTATTGAATTACCTTGGTATATTTCTAAAAATCAATTGCTCATTTATATGCAGAATTATTTTGCTGTTTTGATCTAGTTTTCTATCCTTATCCCAATACGGTTTGGACTTGATTACTATAAATGGAGACTACATCTTGAATTTAGAAGATGTGTGTCTCCACCATTTTCAGGATTGTTTTGGCTCTTGATCTTTTACATTACTGTATACTATAACTTTACCAATTTCTTTTAAAAACTCTTGCAAATTGTTAAATTTGAAAAGAAATGACATCTTAACAATACTCAGTCTCCTAATCCAAGAACATTTTACATTATTTCATTTATTTAGATCTTCTTTAATTTTACTCTTCAATATTTTATGGTTTAAGTGTAAAGATTTTTCAACAAATTTATTCCTGTGTTTTGTAATTTTTTGATGCTATTGTAATGATTATTTTATAAATTTTATTTTCAATTGTTTGTGTCTTATATATATATAAATGAAATTGAACATACACCCTGAGATCTTGCTAAGCTCCCTCATTAGTTTTAACATTGTTTTGCAGGTTCCTTAGTATATTCTACATTACAACAATGCATTCTGCAAATTATAAAGCTTTAGTTTGTTTTATAGATGTTCTATAATTTTTAAAACCTTTTATTGCCTATTGGACTGTTTGAAACTGCTAGTAAAAAATATAGAAGTAATGTGTTATGTTATCTGTAGATGTTTAGTGATACCTTAAATTAGATTGAGAGTTTCTTTCCATTTTTAGTTCGAGAATTATTTTTTTCTTTGCATTTCTAGAATTTATCACTCTTGGTTTTGTGTGTATGTATGTGTGTATTCTAGAATATACTCCATGTGGTGATGTACATCTACACACATGAGGACACATATGTACTATATATGTGTGTATATATGTATATATAATTTGGCTTTGATTTGATCATATTTTGACAAGTTTTTATGTAACTTTATAAGGAATAGTTGTCATATTTTTCTTCTTGTAGAATCTTTGCCAAGTTTTTTATCACGGTTTTTATACTGGCCTCATTAAATCAGTTTGGAGATATTTTCATATTTTCTATTTTCTGAATCTATTTGTAGAACTTTGGTATTATTTCTTCCTTAAATAGTTGATAAAATTCACCAGTTAATCTTAGAATTTTCCTCACATAAAAATTACACAAACAACTTTAAAAATTTTAAATATTTGCTTACTCAGATTCTCTATTTCTTTGATGTTCGCAAATTGTAGTTTTCAAAAGATTTGAACAGTGAATCAAAATTGTTGAATTTATTGATATAAAGTGGATATTTCCTCAAATACCTGTAGTTTTGTAGTGATATGCCCTCATTAATTCCCTATCTGGATAATTAGTGTGTTCTCTTTTTCCTTGATCAATGTGGTAAAAATTTTACTGATCTTATCAAAAATTCTATTGATCTTTACAAAGAACAAGTCTTAGGTTCTTAATGTTCATTATTGTTTTCTATTATGTAAATTGCTCTTATCTGTCACCTTTCTTTCCTTCTACATCAGATTAAAATTACTCTTTATTTTCTACCTTCTTAAAGCAGATACTTATATTCTTTATTTTAACATTTTTATTTTCTAATATAGGTATTTAAAGCTATTAGGTAACCTTTAAATACTACAAATTTGAATACATTGTATTTTTATTCAGTTTAGTGCATTTTTAAACTTTTCTTTTGCTATTTCTCTAACACATGAGTTATTTATTGGCAACATTAATTTTTTAAAAAAATTAAATATATGAGATTTCCACATATATTGTTGTTTATGATTTAATTCTACTGTAGTCAGTATAAGTCATATAATACCACTTTCCTTCTGGGACTCAAGTTGCATGTATGTCAGTCTGCTTAATATTGTTCCAGTGGTAATTTAGGTTTTATTATTTTTAAAATTTACTTAATGTCTCTTCAGATTACACATTATTTACATTGCTCTCTCTCCAAGTTCACTGATTCTCTCTTTTGTCATACAATGAAATTCCACTTCAGATTTTATATTTTTCCACTCTAGAGATTTGTTTTTATTTTAGTTTTCATTTCTTTGTGATTTTCTTTCGCCCTTTATGACCACGTTTTCCTATAAGTTCTGTAACATATTCATGATGGTTGCTTTAAAGTGTTTCTTTTTTCCTGCTAAATTTAACTTCTGAATGTTTTAGAGATTGGTTCCTTTCATTTGATGTTTTTTTGTTGATTATGAAACATCTTTTTCTGCATCTCATTTCTATCTGTATGTGTGTGTCTAATGATTTATTTTATGCTAAGTATTGAAATACTTTGTAGAAGTTCTGGATTATACTATTTCCTTTAAAGAGCATTATGTTGTTATATTCTGGCAGACAGTTGTATCCCTGGCTGATTCCTTTGGTCCTCAAAGTTTTTTTTGTTTTATGTTAACACTGTGAGGGTCTTCCTTGTCCTACTGCACTTAGCAAAAGTTTCCCTCTCCTTGGGTTTCTCCGCCTTGCACCACAGTAGGGGAAGTGCAGCCAATCAGAGGACAGGGCAAATAGAGGCTTAACTCTTGAGTTTCTTCCTTCTCAAGAATTATAGATATATACTGCTGCTTCTCAATGCATGAAAATAGTTGTTTCATGTTTTCTCCCATTTTATAGTGTTCGTGACAGAACTGCAGGTTTGGTACCAGTTACTTTGCAGCTAGAGGTTAAAGTCTTTGCCAAGCGGACATTTGACTTCAAATTACAAGGTTTTCCATTACACTTTCCAAGCACTGTGATTATCTGAGCTTTTTCCATGCCTTATATTACACTTGTAATGATCTTCCGTAAAAAGTTTCTAAACATTATTTAGGGCTAACTTTTAATATTATCTCACTCATGAATGTATATAACCTACAAGCCATGCATGGTTCCTATCATTAAACTTTCATTTCCTACATACCAACTTAAGGCATTTATCTCTTCATATCTTAGGTGAGACCTGTGTTAGACTCCATTATAGGTTGTAAATACTTTCACATAAAAAGTTGAGATGGGCTGGGCATGGCAGCCCATGCCTGTAATCCTAGCAGTTTGCGAGGCCAAGGCAAGCAGATTGCCTGAGCCAAGAGTTCGAGACCAGCCTGGGCAGCATGGCAAAACCCCATCTCTACTAAAAATACCAAAAAAAAAAAAAAAAAAAAAAGGAGAAGGAAAAAAAATAAAAATTAGCCAGGTGCAGGGTAGCACAAAGCCTGTTATCCCAGCTACTTGGGAGGCTGAGGCACAAGAATCACTTGAACCCAGGAGGTAGAGGTTGCAGTGAGCATAGATTGTGCCTTTCTGAAGCAATATCCATCTGTAAATACTTGGCAGCTCCATATGTCAGGCCCAATGCCCTAGTGGGTCAAGGGTTTATCCTATAACCCAAATTGTTAAAGCCTGTTTTGGAGCTCTGGAGATTTCTCTTTTACCATTTCTCCATATCCAGGAGCTCCTCTCAGCTCTCAGTTGGTTCCTGACTAGACAAACTGCCTTGAACCCTATCCTTACTTACATTTGGCACTTCCTATCTCTTCTCTGATGAATGCAAGCATTCTTTCTTAGAAGATCTGTTCAGAGTATGAGTATCTACTTACTATTCTGGCTCTTCTCCATGTTGGAGGCACGTACTACCTGTGTCTAGTCAGCCATCTTGGTCTCTTCTCCAAATAGTTCACTACTGTGGAGGGAACCAAAGTAACATGACAAAAGGCTTAGATAAAGGAAGGAGTAAAGCTTTGGGACAGTAATGAAATCTATTACAAGGATCCAAATACATCTCAATGTCATGGAATAGCATTAAATTCTATGGGATATCAAGAAAATTAAGGCCATTTCAGATTAGGTTATGACATAGATACTGGAACTTTGAAATAGTTCTGGAACAAGAAAAAAATAGTAGGATGTTGGCTCTTTTGTGTAAACCAATATATTTCTTTTTCTTACTTCACTGAAACCAAATTATACCTTTAAGATGACTAGCAGTTTCCACCTTGGCCTATCCAAACCTGAAGCCACCATATAAGAATTAAGACTAGACTTCAGGAAAGACCACATAGATATGTCCTGAGACTCCACTGAAAGGAAGAAGGGGTCAGTTAGCCCAGGGTTCCAGTAATCCCCACCAAAGTGTGTTTTCCAGACCAGACCCACTACCAGATTAACACCACTGGGTAAAGTAACATGAGGCAGAAGAATTGGCAACCTTGTGCTAATTCCTGACACAAAAAATTGTAAGGCATAACATCACAGTCATTTTCATCCACTAATTCTGTGGGTAGATTGTTATGCAGCAACAAACAACAAGAGCAGAATTTGGTACCAGGAAATGGGATGCTGTTCTAACAGGAAAACAAGACTATGTGACATTGGCTTTGAGACAAGTTGCAGAATGAGAGCTGGAAGACACTCAAAGAGACTCAGTGCAAGTTGGAAGGGCCTTATGGAGACTGCTGGGAAAGGCTTGAAAAACATAAGGACAATGTTATGGGAGGCTAGAGAAAAAAAAATAGGGCTATTTTTATGTTGTGACAGAAGCAACACTGTTGCCTATGGCAACATGGAAAATATAAAAGATGCTTCATATACTTCTGAAGTTGATGGAAAATTTTTTCTAGGTGATATACAGAAAGTTTTAACTCACTTTTTTCTAGCTACCTATGAGCAAAGAGATACAACAAAAAAGAGATAGAGAAGGACTTTTAGTTTTTCACCAGAATTTAGAAAGAATATAGAAAGCCCAGGATGGCCTTCCTAACTTGCAAAAGGTTCTCAAGGGAGGATTGGCCTCAAGGCAAAGTTCAAATCCGGCTCAATAAAATTTGATCTCAGGGTAAAAGGAAAGTCAGAGGCATGGCTAAGAGACCTTTATTAAGACCTAAGAAAGGTTCAGCTTTCTAAGAATATTCAGAATATGCTGTACTAATCCATTTTCACGCTGCTGTAAAGAAATACCTGAGACTGGGCAATTTATGAAGAAAAGAAGTTTAATTGGCTCGTGGTTCCGCAGGCTGTACAGGAAGCATGGCTGGGGAGGTCTTAGGAAACCTACAATCATGGTGGAAGGCGAAGAGGAAGCAGGAACATCTTACATGGCCAGAGCAAGAGGAGGACTGCCAGGTGGGGATACCACACACTTTTAAACAACCAGAACTCAGCCAGGCATGGTGGCTCACACCTGTAATCCCAGCACTTTGGGAAGCTGAGGTGGACAGATCACCTGAGGTCAGGAGTTTGAGACCAGCCTGGCCAACATGGTGAAACCCGTCTCTACTAAAAATACAAAAATTAGCCGGGTGTGGTGGTGGGCACCTGTAATCCCAGCTACTCGGGAGGCTGAGGCAGGAGAATTGCTTGAACCCAGGAAGCAGAGGTTGCAGTGCAACTGCACTCCAGCCTGGGTGACAGAGTGAGACTCCATCTTAAACAACAACAACAAAAACCAGATCTCATGAGAACTCTATCGCAAGAACAGCATCAAATGGGGAAATCAGCCCTGATAATCCAATCACTTCCCACCAGGCCCCACCTCCAACAGTGGGTATTATAATTTGACTTGAGATTTGTAGGGGGACACAAATCTGAACCATATTATATGCCTTGAAGATGGTATCAGTTATAAAAGAGGTCTTCTAAGAATATTATGCAAAATGTCCCTGTTATGGGTTGAATTGTATTCCTCCCCCCAAATTCATATGTAGATGTCTTAACCCCTGGTACCTCAGTATGTGACTTTATTTTGAGATAAATGCTTCACCAAGTTATAATGACATCATTAGGGTAGGCCCCAATTCATTCTGATTAGCATCCTTATTAAAGGAGGAATTTGGAGGTAAATACACAAGAAAAATACCATGTGAGCATCAGAGTAGTGATGGGGGTGAGGCATCTACAAGCCAAGGAAGCCAAAGGTTGCCCACCAGAAACCAGGGAAAGGCAAGGAACAGACTCTTCCTCTCAGCCCTTGTAAGGAACTAAGTCTGCTGACACCTTGATCTTGGGTTTCTGACCTCCAGAACTGTGAGGCAAACTTCTGTTTTCTAAGCCACGCAGTTTGTGGTACTTTGCTATGGCAGCCCCAGAAAATTGATACAATTCCATATCAGCCTCACAGGGACCTATCGGGGGAATCCACCCCCGATAATTCATCATGGATTCTTTTCTATTTTCCCTACGTGTAGGCTGGTCTGAGAAATAAAGGGAAAGAGTACAAAGAGAGAAATTTTAAAGCTGGGTGTCTGGGGGAGACATCACATGTCGGGAGGTTCCGATGCCCCCTGAGCCGTAAAACCAACAAGTTTTTATTAGCAATTTTCAAAGGAGAGGGAGTGCACAAATAGGGTGTGGGTCACAGAGATCACATGCTTCAAGGGCCACAAAAGATCACAAAGCAGAAGGTCAGGGTGAAACTAGAGTCACTAATGAACTTCCATGTCTTGCTGTGCACACATTGTTAGGGTTCAAGAGCAGAGAACCGGTCTGACTAGAATTCACCAGGCTGGAATTTCCTAATCCTAGCAAGCCTGGGGGTGCTGCAGGAGACTAGGGCATGTTTCATCCCTATCTACATCTGCATGAGGCAGACACCCCCAGAATGGCCATTTTAGAGGCCCTGCCCTGGGAATGCATTCTTTTCCCAGGGCTGTTAATTACTAATATTCCTTACTGGGGAAAGAATTCAGCGATATTTCTCTTACCCATTTTCAATAATAAGAGAAATATGGCTCTGTCCTGCCCAGTCCACAGGCAGCCAGACTTTAAGGTTATCTCCCTTGTTCCCTGAACATCGCTGTTATCCTATTCTTTTTCAAGGTGCCCAGATTTCATATTGTTTAAACACACATGCTCTACAAACAATTTGTGCAGTTAACACAATCA
Organism: Homo sapiens; assembly: GCF_000001405.40. Taxonomy (NCBI): domain Eukaryota; kingdom Metazoa; phylum Chordata; class Mammalia; order Primates; family Hominidae; genus Homo; species Homo sapiens. Next base: position 83,081,594 of record NC_000010.11, on the reverse strand, counting down.
TCACAGGGTCCTGAGGCATTATTCATCCTTAGCTTACGAAGATGACGGGATTAAGAGATTAAAGACAGGCACAAGAAATTATAAAAGTATTAATTTGGGGAACTAATAAATGTCCATGAAATCTTCACAATTTATGTTCTTCTGCCATGGCTTCTGCCAGTCCCTCCATTCAGGGTCCTTGAATTCCTGCAACAGGGACCCTAGGAATAGGAAATGCTATCTGAGAGATTTGTGAGTGTGGTTTGGGAGTAAAGTATAATTTGACAAAAAGGAAGCCAATAATTTTTTTTTCTGTTTTTTTGAGATGGAGTCTTGTTCTGTCACCCAGTCTGGATTGCAGTGGTACAGTCTCAGCTCACTGCAACCTCTGCCTCCCCGGTTCATGCGACTCTGCTGCCTCAGCTTCCTGAGTATCTGGGATTACAGGCATGCACCACCATGCCTGGTTAATTTTTGTATTTTTGGTAGAGACAGGGTTTTACCATGTTGGCCAAGCTGGTCTTGAACTCCTGACCTCAGGTGATCCACCCTCCTCAGCCCCCTAAAGTGCTGGGATTACAGGCGTGAGCCATCGTTTCCAGCCCAATAATTTTTTTTTTAATTACTTAGAATGAAAGGTTTAAAGACAGAACAAAAAGAAGGTACTCCTGGAATACCATGGGCAAGTAAGCCGAGAGGTCTGCTCAGCTATAAGGGGTCTACTCACAGGATGGAGACAAAAGCCACAGAGAATCATATCCAGTGAGCAGGACTATGCCCTGGAGAAGAGGTAACCAGATTATGCCTAGGCTGGGCTTTAGAATTATTATGGATCAGTAACTGCCTTTCTCCCTTTTTAAATAGATTTGTCTATTGTAATTATCCAATCTCTGTTACCCCATTGTAAATATTGACATGTGGGGAGCAGAAAGCATGTTATTTTTTCATATCAAGAGGAGCTTATTTTAAGCTGTACTCTGAGAGCCTCGTTTACCTGGACCTAAATTTGGATGATGACATTCTGAACTTTGAGTCAATACCAGGATGGGGATAAGCCTCTGAAGCTCTTGGTAAGGGGTGAGTATATTTTGCATGTGGGGAAAATATCCCGGGGAAACCTGAACTAATCAGATAATTCAGAAAAGAGACTGAGTCTTTCATGAAGAAAGAGACTCAAAACATTCGAGAAATTCTCCTGCTAACCTTGAAGTGGCAAGAGGCTTATGGTATGAAACATGTGGCAAAGAACTGAGGCTCTAGTTATTACAAGTAGCCCTTGAAGAGTAATCAACAAGAAAACGGGAAATTTGGTCCTACACCCTCAGAATTCCTATTATGCTTGGAAGTGGATCTTGAGCCTCAAATGAGACCTCAGCCTGGCCAACACGTTGATTTCAGCCTTATGATACTCTGAGCAGAGAACCACCCTTCTGTGCCCGGATGTCTGACCTACAGATCTGAAAGATATATTTGTGTTGCTTAGTCTTTTATATTTGTAGTAATTTGTTACACAGCAATAGAAAACTAATACAGATTTTAATATCAAAATACCTGAAGTACATCAGCAGCTTTGCAGGTGTGCAGTGGGCAGAGGCTGGACAAATATCCAGGTGCCAGAGAGAAATTCTCAATTGCCTTGAACAGACTCCTAATCCTCGTTACTTAGGCAAATTTCTGCACCCAGCTTGAATTTTTCCTCAGCAAATGGGATTTCCTTTTTTTTTTTTTTTTTTTTTGACATGGAGTTTCACTCTTGTCACCCAGGCTGGAGTACAATGGAGTGATCTTGGCTCACTGCAACCTCTGCCTTCTGGGTTCAAGTGATTATCCTGCCTCAGCCTCCCGAGTAGCTGAGAATACAGGTGCCCACCACCATGCCCAGCTAATTTTTGTATTTTTAGTAGAGATGGGGTTTCTCCATGTTGGCCAGGCTGGTCTCAAACTCCTGACCTCAGGTAATCCACCCATCTCAGCCTCCCAAAGTGCTGGGATTACAGGCGTGAGCCACCGTGCCTGGCCAAAGAGCTCAGAAGGAAATGAGGGGCATATTACTGGAAAGCAAAGGAAATGGGGCCCCTTCTTACATAATTTTAGAAAGCTTAGTAAAATTTTGCCCTGCACTTGAGAGTAGAAATCAAAAGTGATAAATTTAAATACATAGCTGAGGAGATTTCCAAGTAAAGTGTTGAAAGTTCTACCTGGTTTATTTTATTGCCGCTTATGGTAAAATGTGAGAGGAGAGGCACAAATTGAAGAAATAATTGTTAAACAGAAAACAGGGCTTGATCATTTTGAAAATTCTAAGGCTCTCTAGATACCAAAAATGTTAGAAGTAAAAAAAAAAAAAAAAGTGAGAAAATTATTGCCCAAAGGATGGCATTTTAAAAAGGCTGAATGTTCTGTGTTCTTTTAGGTGATGGTCAATTAGGTGCAACCAGAGAGGAGACAGGAGAGGCTCAGAAAAACATAAGTGTATTATACTCACTGGTCCTAGAGAGGGGGTTATTGTATGCCAAGCAGGGGTACATGGGGAGCACCAGGTTTTGGTCAGGTGGAGAAGACAGGAGCAAGGGGAAAGTCTACACCAGTCTCTATTGGGGTTTCTGTGGGAAAGGCAAAGTGAGAAAGAGTAAATAATGTAGGACTGGCTAGTTTGAATAAGTGCTGTAAGCTTTGGGGTATAAGAGGGATCCCAACTTGCCTGATACCTGGCCGTCGGATGTTGAAGGCAGAGGAATATTGCCTCCTGGATTGTACTGGCCAGGAAGAGGAAACCTGGCTCTGGGTTGGTTAGTTTGCTTAGTGAAGACATGATCCTAGCTGAGCCCTTTGCTGTCTCTGAATAGCTAGCCCTGGGGCTAGAAGTTTCTCCCCAGCCGGGAAGGTTAATAATGTCAAAACATCATAATAAACAGAAAATAGATTTAAATGCTACAATGAAGGCATAACTCTATAACCAAAGGCTACAACCAGTTCTACAAACAAAAGCTAAATCCTTAGAAAGGCCTAAAAGATTCATGGATGTATCTTTTGCCTAGAAGAGTAAAACCCAGTAAAATCCATTAAAGATACCTAATGTTCTCGAGAAATTTTTTTTCAGCAGAAATACTGCTAGCTTGAGTGAAAGGGACAAAGAGAATGTGAAACAAAAGGAGACTTTCAGGCTATTTAAATTCTATTGGCAGCAAACAGGTTGATGAAACTATTTAGCTTCAAACACTTGCTACTTTTCATGAAAAAGGAAGGATGACTCAGAAAATGAGAACAATAGCCCTGAGGGCAGAGCCCAAGACCCAGAGGTTTCTTCCTAATCTTTAAATCCTAGTCAAGAAAAATATCAATATTTGTTCAGCTGTATTACAAAACTTCTAGGAACTGGTTACTCCTTTTAACTTTCCATTTTCCCCCCTTTGAGCTTGAATATCTATAACAGGTATCCTATACTGGTTTTGCAATTGCATGTTTGAGGTATTAGGGGAAGATAACTTGTTTCTTTAGTTTCCCCGGTCTACATATGGAGAGAAAATATTCCCTAGAACCTAAACTTAATGGATTAGATCTAGGAGTTTCATCTTCACCTGATTTAGCACACTTGGATGATGAGTTCTGAAATGTTGAGATGACACTCTAATGGTCTAATACTCCTGAGAATCTTTAGAGAGGGGTGGGTGAATGTATTTCTCATGTTGGGAGGATATGAATGATTGGGGGCCATGGGAAGACTGATCATCAAACTGCCAAGGTGGCCCCCATGGTTCCTGCCTCCTCGTGTACAAATTCTGTATAACTTCATCCCCTTGAGTGTGATTGGACTTGTGAATATGATGGGATTTGTTATGTTGCAATGAAAATGAATACAGCCAGATACCAGCCTAGTTTTTAAAAGGACTAGCAACTTCCCTCTTGCTCTACTCAAGCCCAAAAAGAGAGGATCTCCTGAAGCCATGTAAGATCCATCATGTGGAAGTCTGACTACTATGCTGGGAAGACAAGGTGGAGATGCCCTGAGGCTACATGAAAAGAGGAAGAACCTGAGACCAGCTTTCCAGGTGTCCCTACCAATGTCCCAGTGATAGCAGTGAAGCCTTCTTGGACACTCCAGCCTCCAGCTAAATGTCACCAAATAACACTGGTCAATGCTACATGGAGCAGAAGAATTGGCCAGCCATGTTCTGCTAGAATTCCTAACCCAAAACATTATGAGAAAAAATAAAATAGCTTTTGATAAAGTCACTAAATTTGGGAGAAGTTTGTTATACAAAATGAATACTTTCAAAGGGGTTATTTATAGAAATTTGAGTGTGGTGGGATAACAAGGAATAAAGTCACAGTTGAAACTAGTGAGCCCCAGATTGTGAAACCACTATGCTGAAGAGATAAGGGAAGGAAGAGTTAGTATAACCATTTAGGTAGTTGTTTATAAGGAGACCAGCTTGAAAGAAGCTCTGATATGGAGGTTAAGGAACATGGTCAATCCATGGAGGAAATCATTGGAATAAAAATCTAGTATGGGTGCAGTGGGTCATGCCTCTAATCCCAGCACTTTGGGAGGCCGAGGTGGGTGGATCACTTGAGGTCAGGAGTTCAAGACCAGCCTGGCCAACATGGTAAAACCCTGTCTCTACTAAAAATAGAAAAATTAGCCAAGTGTGGTGGTGGGTAGCTGTTATTCCAGCTACTCGGTACGCTGAGGCAGAAAGATTGCTTCAATCTGGGAGGTGGAGGTTGCAGTGAGCCAAGATTGCACCACTGTACTCTGGCCTGGGAAACAGAGCGAGACTCCATCTCAAAAAAAGCAAAAAAAATCAGACTTTATTCTCCTTTCTCTCTCTGATCTCCTGCATGGCTTCCAATTCATCAAAGATTTCCAAAAAGCACGGTTTATGAAAGTTCCTGGTTGTAATTTGTACAAGTTAGCCTTCTGGAGCAGAAAGCATGGTGGAGATGAATAGACAGCAGATCTTGTGAAAGATAAGGAATTAGTCATCCAGCTGTATTTTCTGATGTGATGATGGTAGTCACAGGGTGTACACGACACCAAAGGCCAATGAATGCATCTCAGGGATTGAGAATTCTGCTGGCTTTCTTGAGACTCTATTGCTTGGAAGATAGGTAAGACTTCTATAAACAAGAATGAGGGAGAAGACAATTTCTAGAGGGAGGGCAGCTGGAAAAGTTTCAGAAAAAAATAAAGACACCGAATTATTTATTGTGGCTCTATCTGGGTAATTAGAGCAGAGCAATTAGCAATAGCATTTACCACAGCACATCATTACTATTTTTGTTTATTGCTAAACCACTTATTGATGAAATAGGTTAAGTGTCAGTTTTTCAACAATCAGCCATGTCCCATCTGTTATGTAATTGTTACTTTCAAAGCTTGAGCTTCAGCAAATGGAATCATTAAGGGACACTCTCTTGCACTTGCTCCAGTACACATTTTTTCTATCCCCCTCTCTTTTATAAATGGTTTATTTGCAAATCAACATCTGTAAAAGGGAAAAAAAGAGCACAGTAGGACACAAGGGGACAAGAAGTTGACACTGTGATCAGAGATCCAGGTAAAGGTTGGGGAATAATTTATTTGTCTGAATATTTCCAGCAAAACAGTACTTGTTATGGGGTTTTTGTTGGGCCTTGTATTCCTGAGATGCTCCAATTACTGAGCAGGATGGCAGGTCCATTGTCACAGCTGCTGAGCTCATGAAGCAACACAGATAATATATCTGTAAGATGAATGCTGCAATCACAAATTAATTAGATTCTCTTTCAGAAGATAAAAGTTAGGAAAAAATTGCTTTTCTTCACCAGGATACTAATGTGGCAGGACCAAAACAGGAGGTGCCTAGTTTGTTGAACCACAGGTATGAAAAAATGGATCTGTGTTTGCAAATATTTCACTTTACATGCAACTTTCAATAAAAGCCAGTAAAGGCTTTACATCCTGCCAGATTTAATAAACGCTTCCGTCAAGTGTTTGTGGTCAGATGGAAAAAATCATTGGCTTGCTTATCTGCTTAGGGGCTATTTTCTGTCATCTTCTCCCAGCTGCTATGAGTTTCCATTGGCAAGAAGTCAAAAATACAGCATAAATTTATTTGTAGGACAAAACAGCTACAAAAGGCCTGGCCTATTAACACAATGACTATGATTGCACTCTTAAGAACTAAACTGGAGTTTTGTAGGATTTTTGCTAAATTTTAGCTGAAAGCACCAAAAAACCCATGTATTGTACCCAGAGAAAAGTGTTTTATTTATTTTTTATGCATTTCCTCAGATATAAACATTGCTTATTTATCCAGAAATTTAGAACACATTTAAACTCATGCCATTTCTCATTAGAAAGAACAGCATGCTTTCATCACTCCCACCACTCGAAGGCAAGAGCAATGTCTTATTTTGTGTTAATTTGGAACGACACAGTGACAGATTGATTTCTTTCTTCTGGTAAACAAATTCAGCCACAGAGAATACACAATGTATCAAGTGAAAGTTCATTTTCAAATACTTCCACACAAGTTATCCCTCACTTTTCTCCAAAAATGCCTGTTTTCATTTGGTGTGAGTAGAGATAGATCTGAGTAGCCCTAGAGGCTTGTTTCCACCATCTTCATGGTGTTTATTCAGCTCAGCAGCTCTTGGCCAGCCCCAAAAGTTGATGTTTACATCAACAAGTGAGCTCCAGAGATTCCCTGTTTGTAATGAGACCAGTTATTCACTGGGGAACTTTCATTGTGTTCTATTATTTGACTAGATGTATCAAGCAACCCCTTTCAACTTTTTAAAAAATAGAGAGGTTTAGGGGACAAGTTGCCTCTCCTGGGTCCCTGCCCATGAGACATCAATGACAGAGCTAGATACACTGCCCTTTGGGACCCTCCACCTATCAGCTTTCCCCAGTAAACCTTACTTTACATTTACATTGTGTGGCATAAGGTGCATGTGTGTCTGCATGAAATATGTATTTTGTCAAACATTTTTCATACCACTTGTATGTTCATATCTCATATATACATTATATATATATATACACACACACACACGTGTGATTGACTCTATGGAAACAGAACTCATGAATAAATAAGACTGGCTATATACACTTTCATGTTATCATGATTTTACATATGGACATACAGTTTTCTCTCTGTATCCATGAAGAATCATTTCAGGACCTCATACAGGTACCAAAATTCATGAATGAATGCTCAAGTTTCTGGTATAAAATGATGTAGTATTTGCATGTAACCTATACACATTCTCCTATATACTTCACTCATTTCTAGATTACTTATAATATTTAATATAATGTAAGTGCTATGTAAATAACTTGTACTATAATATTTAGGAAACAATGACAAGTCTGTACATGTTCAGAACAGATGTAATTGTTAATTTTTTTCAAATTTCTTCAATGTGTGATTGGTTGAATCCATGGAAACAGAACTCATGAATAAAGAAGACTGGCTGTATATACTTTCATGTTATCATGATTTTATTCTTCATACACATAAAGTGAATATAATTTATACTCCTACCAACTATGTATGGGAGTATACATTGATAGCCACACTAACTGGCACCATGTTATTTTATATCTTTTTCCAACCTGATGGGAAAATACACACACATCTTTTTTTACATTTACCTGGTGTCATCTGAAGAATTATGATGTTAATAAATTTAGAAAGGAGAACTTTATTTCTCATAAATTGTTGAAGCCTGCAGGGTGGCCATTCTGACAGGCTAGGAAGCATAACCTTTGGCCAGAAGCCAGAAACAAGACAGTTGGAGGTAGGATCAAAGGGAAAAGAAATTTAAGCTGAGCAGGGTGACTTAATATACATATTGAATAAGCTACAGGAAGAGTCATGAATATTTATGAGAGGAGACACATGCACATTTGTAATTAGCTCCATGCCTCTTCATGGGTCCCATGTACAAACAATGGCAGCATTAGCATGATCCAAGGGTGGAGTATTCAGCCCTCTGATGTCAAAAGGTAATGTAGAGGACATGAAAACCCTCGCTGCATATTCTCAGTAGGATGGCCAGAACCATTCCATGGTCAGTGATCTCTTATCAGAAAATAAAGAAGTAGTGTCAGATGGTTGGTTGATAGGAGTGGTGGAGTCTTTTGAAAGGGCTGGTTTCTGTTTAGTCCTTAGGGAAGAAAGCCTAATGACAGTTAATGACGGAGAGGGTATAAGGAGGCAGTCTGACTTCACAGCCTGTCATGGATAGGAACTCGGTTTTCAAGGTTTCCCTCGGGTCCCTTTGGCCAGGAGAAGGACTGTTTCATCTGTTGGTGGGCTTAGTATCTGACTTTTATTTATCACTGGTAACTAATAAAATTGACCACAGAGCATATTTGGATATATTGATGTTTTATATGAAATTTCTTTTTACGCCTATTGGCCATTTCTTAACTTTAATTTTTTTTTAAATGCTATGAGTGAAAATAATATGACTGAAAAATTTTCCCAATAAAATTTGTTAACTAGAGTATTTCTCCCCATAGAATTGTACTATCAGTATGGTCATTTATTGAACTACTTTGTGTCAGTAGATATTTCTCTATTCTATATTGAATGAATTTTATTTACCACTGTTTAAGAATTTTGCATATATGATCATTAGCAAAATAGTCCTATAATTGTATTTTCTTAAATTGTTTTTATCCAAGATTACTGGTAAAAGTAATTATATACTTTGGATTTCAAATACAAAAAGTACTTTTTGTACATTCATACTCTAAAGGTACTTTTTGTTTGTAACTCATTTTCCATCTGATATTTTAAAATTTGTTTAAAGCAATAATTATAAATGGAAGTTGATTGGCACACAATGAACAAAGGCATAATCTGTGACCATACAGCATAAAGGTGGAGGAGGACAAAAATACATAGGAGCACAATATTTTATATTATGAAAATTATTAGTATTAATTTAAACTAGATTGCTATAAATTAAGATGTTGTCTAAAGGGCAACCACTAAGAAAATTACATACACACACACACATATATATATATGCACATATACATATGTGTATGTGTATTTATGAAAAAAGACTGTAATAAAATGTTATAAAGTAAAATATCTGTTTAATACTATAGAAAGCAGTAAAGTATTTGTAATCCAAAATTTATAAGATATATAAATGAAAAATAACAAAATAGCAGAAGTGAGCCCATCACTATCAGTAATTACATTAAATATAAATTGATTAAACTTTTTAATTAAAAGGCACATATTGGAATGGATGTAAGAAACATGATTCCACTATATACTGTCTATAAGAGACTCATTTTAAAAGACACTGATATGTTGAAAATCAAAGATGGAAGCAGATTTCCATGCAAAAAGTACTCAAAGAGATCTAAAAGTAGCAACGTTAATATTAGGTAAAATATACTTTAAGAACAAAAGTTACTATAGACAAAGAAAAACATTTTGTTATGATAAAAGGGCCAATCTATTAATAAGATATAGCAATTATAAACATATACACACTGAACCATGGAGCTGCGAAACATCTGAAGAAAATACTAACATAATTGAAGGAAGAAATATGAAACCCAATTATAATTATTATAGATTATTATATAACTCACTTTTCAAAATGCTCTTAATATACTTGTATTTTTGGTTGTCATTTTTTCCAACAGATAAAATTATATAATTTTGTTTTGCAGGAATTTTCCTATTTTTTATATTTGCTGGTGTTATATTTTCTATGATTTCATGGATTTATTAGTATTTAAATGTTTAAAGAAGTATATATAGACATACGCATATATCTACCTATCTATATTCTGATGAATTTTAGGAACTTATAAAAAGGATTAATTTTAGAATTAAATCCAACATCATAAATACTTTGATAACATTCTATTTGCATTCTTTGGCCCATGGAATATATTTAATTATATATATGTAACAAGTAATTATTATATTCATATTATATATGTACTTATTATATATAATTAAATCTATTCCATGAGCCATATGTTTATATTAAATATTTTAATTTCAATTAAATAAATATATTTTTAAATGTATATGTTATATATATATATATATATTTGTTCATTGTGTGCCAGTCAACTTCTATATATATATTTTAATCACAGCTACTTGAAGAGCAAACGTGGTGGATTTAATAGTTTTCTCATGCATAAGATAGTTTATTCTTAATATCAAATTATGTTTCTGTTTCTGGAAATATTGGTTAATAGATATCCAGAGAAATATTCCCACTAGAGAGCATGTAAAAATTCTTTGTGGGCCAGGCATGGTGGCTCACACTTGTCATCTCAGCACTTTAGGAGGCCAAGGTGGGCAAATCATGAGGTCAGGAGATCGAGACCATCCTGGCTAACACAGTGAAACCACGTCTCTATTAAAAATACAAAAAATTAGATGGCGTGGTGGCGGGCACCTGTGGTCCCAGCTATTCAGGAGGCTGAGGTAGGAGAATGGTGTGAACCCAGGAGCTGGAGCTTGCAGTGAGCCGAGATCATGCCACTGCACTCCAGCCTGGGCAACAGAGCGAGACTCTATCTCAAAAAAAAAAAAAAATTCTTTGTGAAACAGAAAAAATATTTATATAAATATATGTTTCAATATCTATATGTATATATAGAAGTCCAAATATAGAGAGAAAAATGCCTCAATATCAGGAAACAGAGTTTGAGTTTGGAGAAGTGAGCAACTCTTATGCTGTGACTAGCTCTCTTGATATTTTCTAACAAGTCATGGTTTAACCAAGTTATAACATGCACAGAAGGACAGCAGACAAATGTGCTAGGTCTATGCCGAGTAGCATTTTAAATTGCACATCTTCTATCAGAGTGAAACACTTGAAAAATACTTATTCAATCCTTAGCTGTGGGTAAGTGAGGAAAAAATATCTAAGTCCAAAATTGTGATGACTCAATGAACCTGACAGAAACCCAAACAAAACCTGTATGGAAGCACAGACTTTAGACTCAGGCCCTCTTTGAATTTCAGTAAGTGCCAATGGAAATGAGCTAAACATAAAAGAAAAGAAGAAAAAAAAAACCCAAGCCCTCTGGGGAAACATGTCACCATGGGGAAGAATCAGCAAAAATAACACCTTGCTGAATTGAGCCTGCAAAATCTTAAAAAATTGGTATAGTCAATTATAAAATATATAACAAAACAATTATGTTTAATATATATAAAAACACAATTATAAGTAATTAACAAGACACTAGCAACTTTGAAAAATGTACATTTATCAAAGAAATATACACAAATAAGAAAAGAGCTTAAAGGTTTAATTATAGACTCAATATTTTTGCAGCAGATTAAATTCTGAGAAAAAGAAACTAGAAATTCAGAAGAGTGAAGAAACTACTGACAATCCAACAAAGAGAAAAGCTTATGAATATGAAATAGAAATGAGGATATATAAATGAAAGGATGATAAATTCAGTTTTAATTTGATTTTTAGAAGGTGAATATAGACAGGATAGCCTAGATACAACTATTTGAAAATAAAATGAATGAAAATTATCATTAATGAAAGTCAACAATTCAGAATTCCAAGAGTACTAAGTGGAATAAATGAAAATAAGCACATAAAAATAAATAGGTGAATGGATCTATTACAATAAAACTATAGAAAAATAAAACTCTTCCAAAGCAATCACAGAAAAAAGAATTTCCTACCTATACACAAAACTTCTCAATAGCCATGTCGGAAAACAATAAAACTGAAGAAGAACTTGAAAATTTGAAGTTAAATAAAGTTATCTTTTAGAAACCTTGGGGATTTATTTTTTTCATCTGTTGTGAGAGCAGATTGCTTACAAGTAACGAAAGTACACCTAACCTAATCAAAAACCAAACCAAACAAAATGACATGTATTGCAAGAATGCCAGGGTGTGTAATGGAACTCAAGGGACTAGCATGTATTATAGACCTCCATAGGAACTAGAACCAAGAAGTGGGAATAGAAAAGGAACCAGAACATCTGCTTTGCCTTCTCTTATTCTCATTCATTGTCTCTCTTTGTCCCCATTTCTCTCCCTGCCTCTTACTGTCTTTCTCTCCCTCTCTCTTCCTTTCCCACTTTCTCTCCCCTAGACCTCCTGCCCAGCTTCCCCAATCCCCTTATATGTCCATGAATGAAGGAGATTTGGGAAGCCTGAGAGTATTGATTTCAGGGATAGAGTTAGAAATACATTTTAGTAAGAAGATGAATTTGCAAATACAGAGTCCATGAATAGTGGTGCTTGTATATAATATATAATTCAGTCTTCATATATCATACTTCTTATTGCTTTGTTTACTCTCGTGAATATTGTGAAAGAAAGCCATGAGTATTGATTCATGATTTATGACCATTTTTCTCCTTAATCTGCAAAATGCAATTGCTACATAAACCTTGGGTATATTGGATGAACCAATATTTTGCCTTCTAAATTTTTCTTCTAAGAAAGAAAATCGGCTGAACATCTAATTCATATGTCATCACTCTGAAGTTTAGTTTAACTTTGTTTAGATTAAATTAGTTACCTTAGTGATATACATGTCAGAGAGGAAATAAGTTCATATGGAAAATTACCAATTATCTAAAAAATAATAACTATTTTCTGTTATATCCAAGAAGCACATTTCAACTTATGGTGATTTTCTTATAACTTTTTTTACTGACTAAACTCTCCAAACTGTGATGCATCCATTTAAAGTTTAATTTTATCTTAATTATAATAAATAAATTTTTCTTTAATAATTCTCAAGCCCAAACATTTGATTTAAAAAGTCTCATTGACCACTGTAAATAAACTTTAGTGTGTATTCACTAACTCTTAATAACGACTTCACAAATAGGGTGGGTAGTAACAGAAAGGTTTTTATCATGATACAAATTGATATGTCTTTAAATAATAAATATGAAATTACCTAGTAATTATGGTCAGGTTTTTCCTAATTTTATTTATTTGTACTCATTGTAATTAGAAAATAATATCATAGAAACTTTACAAAAGAAAGGAAAAAGTCACTCCTGGAGACATAATTACACTTATTTGATATCACAAAAAATATAACATTTCAAAAAAGAATATAAATGGTATTAAAAAGTAATTCACTGGCCAGGCATGGTGGCTCATGCCTGTAATCAGAGCACTTTGAGAGGCTGAGGCAGGTGGATCACTTGAGGTCAGGAGTTTGAGACCAGATTGGCCAACATGGCAAAACCACATCTCTACTAAAAATACAAAAATTAGCCAGGCATGGTGGCATATGCCTTAGTCCTAGCTACTTGGGAAGCTGAGGCAGGAGAATTACTTGAACCTGGGAGGTGGAATTTGCAGTGAGCCAAGATCATGCCACTGCACTCCAACCTGGGTGACAGAGCAAGACTCTGTCTCCAAAAAAAAAAAAAAAAAGTAATATACCACAAAAAGAAATATTATTTTTTCAAAATCAACTATCAGTAGTATATTTTATACTAAAATTTAGAGAAAAACACCAAGGAATCCTCATTAAAATTAGTAATGTAATGAATTATCATGCTTGCTTTGGTAGCACATACACTAAAATGGGATATGATACAGAGAAGATTAGCATGGCTTCTTCACAAGAGGATGAAATGGAAATCCATGAAGACATCCATATTTTTTGATGCAAAAATCTTCAATAAAATAATAGCAAACCAAATCCAGCAGCACATCAAAAAGCTTATTCATCACAATCAAGTTGGCTTCATCCCTGGGTTGCAAGGTTGGTTCAACATACACAAATCAATAAATGTAATTCATCACATAAACATAACTAAAGACAAAAACCACATTATTTTCTCAAGAGACATAGAAAAGGGCTTCGATAAAATGTCACCATCGCTTTATGTTAAAAACTCTCAATAAACTAGGTACTGAAGGAACACACCTCAAAATAAGAGCCATATATGACAAACACACAGCCAATATCATACTGAATGGGTGAAAGCTGGAAGCATTCCCCTTAAAAACTGGCACAAGACAAGGATGCCCTCTCTCACCACTTCTATTCAACATAGTATTGGAAGTTCTGGCCAGGGCAGTCAGGCAAGAGAAAGAAATAAAGCATATTTGAATATGAAGAGAGGAAGTCAAATTATCTTTGTTTGCAGATGATATGATCCTACATCTAGAAAAACCCGTTGTCTCAGCCCAAAACCTTTTTAAGCTGATAAGCAACTTCAGCAAAGTCTCAGGATACAAAATCAGTGTGCAAAAATCACTAGCATTCCTATACACCAACAACAGGCAAGCAAAGAGCCAAACCATGAATGAACTCCCATTAACAATTGCTACAAAGAGAATAAAATACTTAGGAATACAGCTAACAGAGGAAGTGAAGGACCTCTTCAAGAACTACAAAGCACTGCTCAAGGAAATAAGAGAGGACACAAACAAATGGAAAAACATGTCATGCTCATGGATAGGAAGAATCAGTATCATTAAAATGGCCATAATGCCCAAAACAGTTTATAGATTCAATGCTATCTCCATTAAACTACTGTTGACATTCTTCAGAATTAGAAAAAAATATTTTAAAATACATATGAAATCAAAAAAGAGCCCACATAGCCAAGGCAATCCTAACCAAAAAGAATAAAGCTGGAAGGATCACACTAACTGACTTCAAACTATACTACAAGGCAACACTAACAAAAACAGCATCGTACTAGTACAAAAACAGACACATAGACCAATGGAACAGAATAGAAAACTCAGAAATAAGGCCACACACCTACAACTGTGTAATCTTTGACAAACCTGACAAAAACAAGCAATGGGGAAAGGATTCCCTATTTAATAAATGGTGCTGGAAGAACTGGCTAGCCATATGCAGAAAATTGAAACTGTACTCCTTCCTTACACTTTATACAAAATTAACTCAGATGGATTAAAAACTTAAATGTAAAACCCAAAACTATAAAAACCCTAGAAGAAAATCGAGGCAATACCATTAAGGACATAGGGACAGGCACAGATTTCATGATTAAAAAAAACTGAAAGCAATTTCAACAAGCAAAAATTGACAAATGGGATCTCATTAAACTAAAGAGCTTCTGCACAGCAAACAATCATTAGAGTGAACAGACAACCTATAGAATGGAAGGAAATTTTTGCAATCTATCCATCTGACAAAGGTCTAATATCTAGAGTCTACAAGGAACTTAAACAAATTTACAACGAAAAAACTATCAGCCTCATTAAAAAGTGGGCAAAGTACATGATCAGACACTTTTCAAAAGAAGACATTCGTGTGGCTAACAAACATATGAAAAAAAGATCAACATCACTGATCATTAGAGAAATGCAAATCAAAACCACAATGACATGCCATCTCATGCCAATCAGAATGGCAATTATTTAAAAAGCCAAAAAAAACAAATGCTGGCAAGGTTGTGAAGAAAAGGGAACATTTATACACTTTTGGTGGGAGTGTAAATTAGTTCAACCATTGTGGAAGAAAGGGGATAATTTCTCAAAGATATAGAAGCAGAAACATCATTTGACCCAGCAGTCCCATTACTTGGTATATACCCAAAGGAATATAAATTATTCTATTATAAAGATACATGTACACATGTTCATTGCAGCACCATTCACAATAGCAAAGACATGGAATCAACCCAAATGCCCATCAATGATAGACTGGATAAAGAAAATGTGGTACGTATACACCCCATAATACTATGCAGCCATAAAAAGGAACAAGATCATGTCCTTTGTGGGGACATGGATGGAGCTGGAAGCCATTATCCTCAGCAAACTAAAGCAGGAACAGAAAACCAAAAAGCACAAGTTCTCACTTATAAGTGGGAGCCGAATGATGAGAACACATGGACACATGCTGGGGCCCGTTGAGGGTGAGGTAAGGGGAGGGAGAGCATCAGGAAGAATAGCTAATGGATGCTGGACTTAGTATCTAGGTGATGGGTTGATGTGTGCAGCAAACCACCATGGTTCACATTTACCTATGTAACAAATCTTCACATCCCGCACATGTACCCCAAAACTTAAAATTAAAGTTGAAGAAAACAGTGAACCAAATAAAAGAAAATGTTCAAAAACTTTCAAAATTAGTATAACCTTTAATATTTAAAAATTGCTTAATCAATTAGATCAAAAGGAAGCAAAATTATAGCTAAACATTAAGTAAATTTATTATTTATATATTATATTAAAAAGACCAATAATTTTATTACTTAATCATATGCATATGTACCTAAAAAAATTAAAGGAATTATTGAAGAGCATTATAATGTCAAAGGGATATACTGTCTAGTTACAAGACAAATATGGAAAAAATAATTGTTTAATACATGTTCCTGCAATAACCAGGTAGAATATAAATGACACTTAATGAAAGAAATTATAACGTCCATAAGACTAACTAATCATTTTGTAAAATATGCATACTGCAAGATGGGTATGTAAACCAAAAATAAAATCCCAAGCCCCCAATCAACTAAACAGATCCCCTTTTGGTTAAGGAGATACTGGAGAAACCTGAAAAACTGAATCTTTGCCTCTGACAGGAAGGGAGATTGGATACATCTCTTTATACTCCCTCTGTCTTGAATTCTCTGTTAAGTTTTGGCACAACTGACAAACATTAACATTAAAATGGAGATCATAAAAATGACCAAACAGACTCTTCGTGGCAATAAGATACCAAATTCCAGCCTGACTCTGATATAGCATCACATAACAGATAGGAGACACTGAAGAAAATCAAAATAATTTACCCCAAAATGTATGTTTTCACATATTTTGAAATGGCTTAGCAAAGCTGTCTTTCATGGGGCAAATTTGCATCTGTAGAGAATCTCCATTACTGCAGCCAGGACTTCTCTTTGGAGGCCTTTCCAAGATCAAGAAGAGATTAAGAGTCTGACACCTGTTAAGGCCTGAAAAGAGATACTTACCATCTGTTCTCTCTGAAGGCTGCTACCTTTGAGGCTTCATCCACATAACGAGAACCTTGGCCTCCACAACTCCCCTCATCTTAACTCAAGCATTTCCTCCTACTGACTTCAAGTCTTTAGACAAAGGTTAACTCTTTCAACCAGTTACCAATGAGAAAATCTGAATCCACCTATGACTTGTATGCCCCCACTTTGAGATGGCCTTCCTTTTTGTGCTGAACCAATGCCTACATTCCATGTATTGACATATGTCTTTACCTGTAACTTCTGTCTCCCTAAAATAAATAAAATCAAACTATAACCCCACTCTGCCTCAGGCACACTTTCTCAGGACCTCTCGAGACTCTTCTCTGGGCCATCATAATTCATATTGGCTCAGAATAAATCTCTTTAAATTTTTACAGTTTGTTTTTTTTTAAACAAGTATTATCTGAAAAGAAAAACCCATGTAACTGCACAAAGATAGTCAATTAGTACCATGAAAGTTGGATAGTATAAGTATAGTGAATAAGAGCACAGGCATAGCACCATATTGCCTGAGTTTAAATCCCCACCCTCCCAGTTACCAGCTCTGTGAATTTGGACAAGTTACATGTTCCTGAGCTTTCTTCACTATGAATTCTAGATTTTAATAATACCTATCTCATAAGGTTATATAAGGTTTGAATGTATTAAATACTCTTAGACTATAGTGAGCGTGAATAATCTGTGAACATGTCAGTTATTTCTATTGTGGGTAAAACCTGAAAATTTAAATCTTTTGCAAACAAAGCTCAAACCTTATACTAACACTAACAATCTAAACTCAAAAGAGTTTTTCTTGGAATTAAAATCACTTAATCAAATAAATTAAAGACAAGTATGAATAGTAAGGATAATCTGGAGTATATAGCCAGGTATGTCCATCATATATGAGTTTAATAAAAATGCAAAGTTAGGTAAAGCAGTAAGATATTAGGAGCATTAACAGAAATATGATCCTGGACCTTTCTATAAATATCCATTAAAATAATAGTAATTCCAAGTACCACAGATTTAAGGCTTGATGCATGATATATATTGCAGGAGGCTTTTATCAAGCACGCATCAACCTAACAAGGCAAGTAATTGATTGCTATCTCATTTCACAGATTAGGACATAGGAGAAAGAAACAGGGGCATTACATAACTTTTTAATAGCTGTGTCTTAAAAAACAATGGAGTATTTTAAGTATAAAATAGTAGACTGAAATTATATATTAAACTTTGTCCTTTTTTTTGAAATATTTAAAAATTAATACAAATAAAAGTGGGCACTGTCACACACGTTTGTGTGAAGAGACCACCAACAGGCTTTGTGTGAGCAGCAAGGCTGTTTATTTCACTTGGATTCAAGTGAGCTGAGTCCAAAAAGAGAGTCAGCAAAGGGAGACAGGGGTGGGGCAGTTTTATAGGATTTGGGTAGGTAGTGGAAAATTCCAGTTAAAGGGGGTTGTTCTCTTGCGGACAGGGGTGGGGGTCACAAGGTGCTCAGTGGGAAGCTCCGGAGACTTATTGTCCAGGAGAAGGAATGTCACAAGTTAATGTCATCAGTTAAGGCAGGAACTGGCCATTTTCACTTCTTTTGTGGTTCTTCAGTTGCCTCAGGCCATTTGGATGTATCCATGCAGGCTTGGGCTCAGGGGCCTGACATTCCTGTCTTCTTATGTTAATAAGAAAAACAGAACAAAATAGTGGTGAAGTGTTGGGTTGGGGCAGTGAAAATTTTGGGGGTTGGTATGGAAAGATAATGGGCAATGTCTCTCAGGGCTGCTTCGAGCTGGATTCGGGCGGCATGGGAACCTAGAGCTGAAGAGATTAAACTGAAGAAAGATTTTGGGGTAAGGGGTGATATTGTGGGGATGTTAGAAGGAGCATTTGTCATATAGAATGATTGGTAATGGCCTGGATGTGGTTTCGTATGAATCGAGAAACCAAACAGAAGACACAAGGTCCGAATAAGAGAAGGGGAAAAACAGGTATTAGAGGACTAAGAATGGGGAGGACCTAGGACATCCAATTAGAAAGTGCCCAAGGTGGTTCAGCGTAATTATTTGCTTGGTTGGCGAGTTTTTGGGCTCTATCCTTGAGTTTTTTTATGTTGCTATATACCAGGCCAGATTGATTTAGTTAAAAACAACACTCTTCATTTAAAAATGTACAGAGTCTTCCTTTTTCAGCAGTAAGTTGAGGCTATTCCTGTCTTCTTACATTAATAATAATAAAAAAATAGTAGTGAAGTGTTGGTGTCATGAGGGGAACAGGAAGCTGTTCGGTCCTATTTGCAAATTGATTTTTGGGGGTAAGGAAAACTAGTGTACATGTGCCTGTCCAATTAATAGGTAGACACATGTAAGTGGAGGAGTCACAGAGGAAGAAGAGAACTTTGTGAGGCAAAACTGGAAATGTAAAGTGAAAAGATGAGAGGGAGCACCAAAAGAGGTGTCTTGCACCCAGACTCTTAGGGATTTAGCAAGGGCAGCAGCCATTAGAGGTTGTAATGGGGATTGATGGGGCAACTAAGTAGAGGGGGAGGTTTGATTTTTATGGTGTATGAGAAAGCACATAGTGTCTATGAGTAACCTTTTACTGCCATTCGTGGGGCTGGGTATAAGCAAGCAAGAGGAAGGGCTGGGAGGAGTGTCTGAAGAACAAGGGGAAGGTACCAAGAATGGAGTAAAATGTAGGGCAAATGTCTTAAAGGAAATGAGAGGTTCCAGGAGGCAGGCTAGTGGCTTGTAACCCATGTGGAAGAGGTTATGAAAGGATGATAGAATGGAATGAGCCTGTGAGGCTGGAAGGAGGAATTTTCCTTGGTCTAAGAACCACTTGCCTTGAGTGGGGAGGGATTGATAGGTGGAAACTTCTTTGGGAGAGTAAGTAGGAGTGGCTGATGAGAAGGAGAAACACTAGCCATGAGGGACAGAAGTAGGAATACTGGCTGCTTCTTTAGCAGTCTTATCAGCATAATTGTTGCCTTGAGCAACGGGGTCTGAGGCCCTTTGATGGCCTTTGCAGTGAATGACTCCAGCTTCCTTTGGAAGTAAAGCAGCCTTGAGAAGAGTTATTATTAAAGAGGCATTAATGATGGAGGACCCTTGCGTAGTGAGGAAACCTCTTTCAGCCCATATAACAGCATGGTGGTTCAGGATATGGAAGGCATATTTAAAGTCAGTATATATATTGACATGTAGTCCTTTGGCAAGAGTGAGGGCTTGAGTTAAGGCACTGAGTTCAGCTTGCTGGGAGGTAGTGGAGTGGGGCAGAGAAGTAGCCTCAATGATAGATGTGGAAGATACTATAGTATAGCCTGCCTTTGCTGGTGAGTGTCAATTAGACCTGGTGGAACTGCTATCAATAAACCAAGTGTGATCAGGGTGAGGAACAGGAAAGGAGGAACTATGGGGAAATTAAGTGAGTGCCAGGTGGATTCACTCACTCATGGGAGTCAGGTGTGGTATCAGGAAAAATGTGGGGGCCAGCCTAAAATAGTAAGGTCAAGTTGTTTGGACAGAAAGGCTACAAGGTGCGGTCCCAGCTCTTGTGTAAGAATTCTGACTGCACAGCCCTGCACTTCGGCTGTGTGTAATGAAAAAGGGTTGGGATGAATTAGGGAAAGCTAGTGTGGGAGCAGCTTCTAGGGCTGTTTTTAAGACACAGAAAGAGGGTGGGGAAATGATTTAGGATCTATGGGGTCAGCTAAGTTTCCTTTCATGAGTTTATATAATGGTTTAGTCAGGATGGCCAAACCAGGTATCCAAAGGCAAAAGTACCTAACCATGCCTAGGAAGGAAAGAAGTTGTTGCTTTGTAGAAGGGGTTGGGGTTTGGGAGATTAGCTGGACGTGATCAGCAGGGAGAGCACATGTGTTTTTATGAAGAATTATGCTGAGATAGGAAGAAATAATGAAACGGATGAGGAAGAAATTTGGGCTTTGGAGGGGGATATGCGATATTCCTTTGAGAATAGATGTTGGAGGAGCAAGAGGGTGTCCTCTTGGGAAGATTTGTAGGAGGGGCTATAAAGTAGAAGGTCATCAAAATATTCAATAAGGTGAGAAGCAGATGGATAGAAAGAAAATAAATCATGAGAAAGAGCTTGGCTGAAATAATGAGGGCTGTCCCTGGAGCCTTGCAGCAGTACAGCCCAGGTAAACTGCTGGGACTGAAGGGTGTCAGGGTCAGTCCAGGTGAAAGCAAAGAGAGGCTAGGATGAGGGGTGTGGGGGAATAGTGAAAAAAGCATCTTTAAAATCAAGAATGGAATAGTGAGTTGTGGAGGAAGGTATTGAGGACAAAAGAGTGTACAGATTGGGCACCACAGGGTGGATAGGCAAAAAAATTTGGTTGATAAGGTGCAGATCCTGAACTAACCTGTAAGACTTGTCTGGTTTTTGGACAGGTAAAATGGGGGAATTGTAAGGAGAGTTTATAGCCTTTAGAAGCCCATGCTGTAGCAGGTGAGTGATAACAGGCTTTAGTCCCCTTAAAGCCTGTTGTGGGATGGGATACTGAAGTTGAGTGGGGTAAGGGTGATTAGGTTTTAATGGGATAGTAATGGGTGTGTGATCAGTTGCCAGGGAGGGAGTAGAGGTGTCCCATACTTGTGGGTTAAAGTTGGGGGATACAAGAGGAAGACGCGAAGGAGGCTTTGGTTTGGGGAGAAGGGCGGCAATGAGATGTGGCTGTAGTCCAGTAATAGTCAGGGTAGCAGATAATTTTGTTAAAATGTCTCGACCTAATAAGGGAACTGGACAGGTGGGGATAACTAAAAAGGAATGCATAAACGAATGTTGTCTAAGTTGGCACCAAAGTTGGGTAGTTTTAGGAGGTTTAGAAGCCTGGCCGTCAATACCCACAACACTTATGGAGGCAAGGGAAACAGACCCTTGAAAGGAAGGTAATGTGGAGTGTGTAGCCTCTGTATTGATTAAGAAGGGGACAGACTTACCCTGCACTACAAGAGTTACCCAAAGCATCTTTGATGGTCCTGGAGGCTTCTGAGGCAATCGGGTAGCATCAGTCTTCAGCCGCTAAGCCAAGAAGATCTGGGAAGGAGTCAGTCAGAGAGCCTTGGGCCGGAGTTCCAGGGGCTCTGGGAGTGGCTGCCAGGCAAGTTGGAGAGACCAATTTCCAGTGGGGTCCTGCACAGATGGGACATGGCTTAGGAGGAATCCTGGGCTGTGGGCATTCCTTGGCCCAGTGGCCAGATTTCGGGCACTTGAAGCAAGATCCTGTGGGGAGAAGTCCTGGAGGAATGCCTGGCTACTGCGGTTTAGGTGTTTTGAAGTTCTTGAATGCTGGAGATGTGGCCACGGTTTCTCTTACAGTGGAGGCAAGTAATTGCAACTCAGAAATACATTGCCGCTTGACTGCCTCTTCTCTATTATTGTACACCTTGAAGGTGAGGTTAATTAAGTCCTGTTGTGGGGTTTGAGGGCCAGAATCTAATTTTTGGAGCTTTTTTAATGTTGGGAGCAGATTGGGTAATAAAATGCATATTGAGAATAAGATGGCTTTCTGGCCCCTCTGGGTCTAGGGCTGTAAGGCATCTAAGGGTTGTTGCCAAATGGGCCATGAACTGGGCTGGGTTTTTTTATTTGATGAAAAAGAGCCTAAATGCTAACTGATTTGGGAGAGGTCAGCTGAAGAAAAAGGAGCATTAACCTTGACTATGCCTTCAGCTCCAGCCACCTCTCTAAGAGGAAATTGTTGGGCAGGTGAGGGAGGCTAGTTGTGGAACAAAACTGTAAGCTGGACCAGATGTGAGGAGGGGAGGTGATAGAAGGTTATAGGGTCGGGGAACGGAGGTTGAGGAAGAATTGGGACCTGGTTTGGCCTGGCAAGGAGTGGCCTGGGGAGGAGGGGAGAGATCAGATGCTTTCCTAGAAAAGGAGGATTCAAAGGACTCAGAGTTTGGGATGGAGACTGAAGGAACAGACAGGAGAGAAAGAAAAAAGATTTGGGACAAGTTGCATTGGGAGCAGAGACTAGGGAGGGACTGATGTGTATGTCAGGCACCTCAGACAATTTGCCCATTTTTCGACAAAATTATCTAGATCTTGTAGGATGGAAAAATCAAAAGTGTCATTTTTTTGGCCATTTAGATCCATTGTCGAGTTTGTACTGGGGCCTGGCAGTGTTGCAGAAGAAAATAAGATGTTTAGGTTTTAGGTCACGTATTAATCGAAGGGGTTTTAGGTTTTTAAGAACACATGCTAAGGGAGAAGAAGGGGGAATGGAGGGTGGAAGGTTGCCCATAGTGAAGGAGGCAAGCCCAGAGGAAACAGAGGGTAGAGGCACGGGGAGGGGGGTAGCACTTGCCACCCAGAGGAGATGGTACTTGCCACCAAAGGGAGGTGGTACTTGCCACCAAGGTGAAGGATCAAGACAGGCATCTCCATGGTGATGAGACACCTCTGAAATGTAGGTGAAGAATCAGGCAGGCATCCCTCACAGTGATTTCCTGAGTCTGTGACTGGTGCTGGAGTTTGAGTTCACGGATAAAACGTGTCTCCTCTGTCTCTACCAGAAAGAGAAAGGAATTGAAATTAAGGAAGGGAGAGAATGAAGGCTGGAGGGATAGCGAGAGAGGTTGGAGAAGAGAGTGAAAAGACCGCTTACCTGATTTGAAATTGGTGAGATGTTCCTTGGGCTGGTTGGTCTGAGGACCCGAGGTCATAGGTAGATCTCTTCACAGAGTGAGGGTGAGGACAGGGTACTGGTCTCCCGAAGGTGTCCTCCTGTCCTGGGTCTTCGGCACCAAAAGTCACACCCGTCCGTGTGAGACCACCAACAGGCTTTGTGTGAGCAGCAAGGCTATTTATTTCACTTGGGTTCAAGTGGGCTGAGTCCAAAAAGAGAGTTAGCAAAGGGAGATGGGGTGGGGCAGTTTTATAGGAGTTGAGTAGGTAGTCGAAGATTTCAGTTAAAGGGGGTTGCTCTCTTGCAGGCAGGGGCAGGAGTCACAAGGTGCTTGGTGGGTAGCTCTGGGGACTTATTGTCCAGGAGAAGGAATGTCACAAGGTAATGTCATTGGGTAAGGCAGGAATGAGCCATTTTCACTTCTTTTGTGGTTCTTCAGTTGCCTCAGGCCATCTGGATGTATACGTGCAGGCTTGGGCTCAGAGGCCTGACACGCACCTCTTGAATCAGTCTATGCCCAGAGATTTAGTCAAATAAAGAGCAATGTATCCCATAAAGCCTTGGTGAAGAATGTCTGTCTCCCTGTAGCTTTTCTTGAAGTCTGTAGGGACGTTAGAGGGCAAAATACAATAAATGATATTTTAAACGTTGTCTCTCCATTGTCCCCTCCTCCCAGCCCATCTTTCTTCTCCAACTCCCTCACCTCCATTCCTTCTCCCCCTTATATTTTTTTAACCTGGCATAACTGGGCTCCCCACATCTCTTGATCCAATAGCATCTTTTCATAGAATTAGCGATCCCTCCCCTTCTGTTTGCCCAAATTTCAACCCCCAATTCTGATGAGAAGTACAATAATAGCCTATTTCTTTTCATCAAATGCCTATTTATATTATCTTTATTTTTGCATTAAAATTGTAAACATATTTCTCTGTCAGTATATAAGCATCTCTTACATG
Organism: Homo sapiens; assembly: GCF_000001405.40. Lineage (NCBI taxonomy): Eukaryota > Metazoa > Chordata > Mammalia > Primates > Hominidae > Homo > Homo sapiens. The sequence continues at coordinate 83,057,044 of NC_000010.11, read as the reverse complement.
ATGTTTTAGTGGCATAATCACCTTCCATTGTACAGATGTTTACCGCTACATCTAATTCTCAATTGTTGAAAGTTTTGATTGTTTCAAATGTTTCACTACTACAAACAACTGTAAAACAAACAGCCTTGAAGTTAAGTATGCTAAAAGTTTGACCATATGCTTAATTATTTCCTTAGGATAAATTTCTAGTAATTGAATTTTTGGTTTGTTGCTTATACATATTGTTAAGACTTTTGATATACATTATCAATTTTGCCTGCAGATAGTTTATACACATTTAAATTCACTCCAGCAGAGGCTGAGTGATATTAAAAAAAAATTCCATTGTTATTTTAATTTTCATTTCACAATAAGGTGTGAAATTGTTTAATAACTTTTCTTTTGCCAAAAATGTAGCCAGTTGTCTTCCTAGCAATTGCTGATTAAACTAGTTGAGCTTAAAATAACAATTAACATAGTATGGTATATGCACAGAAACATGGACGCACATACGCAACACATATATTACTTCCTAAGCACTGAAGAAACACACACAAATATACACATATTTCAGATCACTGACTGATTTACTTGGAAAATCAAGTAGGTAGATGCCAGTGATTGTTAATATTATACTGAGTGTCAACTTGATTGGATTAGAGGATGGCTCAATGGCTGGTAAAGTATTGTTTCTGGGTATGTTTGTGAAGGTGTTGCCAGAAGAGAATGACATTTGAGTCAATGGACTGGGAGAGGCAGACCCACCCTTAATGTGAGTGGGCACCATCCAATCAGCTGCCAGAACGGCAAAGACAAAACAGGAGGAAGAAGGTGGAATAACTGTTTGCTGGGTCTTTTGGCTTCCTTCTTTCTCTCTGTGCTGTTTGCTTCCTCCTGCTCCTCCTGCCCTTGGACATCAGACTCCAGGTTCTTCGGCTTTTGGACTCTTGGACTTACACCCGTGGTTTGCTGGGGTCTTTTGGGCCTTTGGCCACAGACTGAAGGCTGTACTCTCAGCTTCCCTGGTTTTGAGGCTTTCAGACTTTTACTGAGCTCCTACTGGCTTCTTTTTTCTCCAGCTTGCAGACGACCTATCTCTGTGAGCCAGTTCCCCCTAATAAACTCCGTTTCATATATACATATATCCTATTAGTTCTGTCCCTCTGGAGAACCCTAATACAATGTCTAACTCTTAAATGCCAGCATTTACTACCTAAAGTAATGATTTTCCATCTGTGTTTCCTAGCCTTTGAGTGGTTTGTATAATAAATTCCGAGGGTCAAGATCAACATTTTTTCAACCACAATAGAACAGATGTGTGTGTGTGTGTCTGTGTGTGTGTCTCCTTAATAGCATATACAATGTAAGCTGTGGTCAAAAAGAGTTTGAAAACCATTGATACAGATTATTTGTAGAAATAGATGTGTTAATACAAGTAGACAGCTTTGTTTAATACGTGACTTAAAGTAAGTATACAATACATATTTTTGAAAGTATGATTATTATTACACACATATGCATTTGCACATATAGTATAATCAGGGAACATAAGGCTTTTTAGATGAAAATATGCTTTCTGATTTGTGTTACAAACCTCTACCACAGGTTTCAGAATTGTCCACTGCTCCTACATATAGATGATCCCTTTTGAATTTAGGGCTCTACCACATACCTGTGACAAAGCTAGTTTCTATTTATTGAGTCTTGTTTTTCACTTAGTAGGGCTCATGAGGCTAATTTGTATGCTCCATAATATTCATCTGCTTATGGTAATAAATTGAAGCTGGCCAGTCTCTTTGGTACCAAAAACCTACAGTTAGAACACAACTATTTACAAGATACAATGTAGCAGAATTCTCTTCAATGAAGTCCAGAGCTTTCAGTTTTATGCTAGAAAGAAATTCATAGCTCAAAGAAGGATAAAATGTCAGTATTTTCCTCGAGATGCTTAAATATATATAAATCATAACTATTCCATATTCCCAAGAGCATTATTCACAGATCTCATCTTTTTCCTTTTAAATTCTATACTTGAAAAACTCATTCTTAATCAATGTAGGAGTAACTACTATAAGCATTTTGACCTTGAAAAAGATATGTCATCTTCCTATTGATATTCCCAATTTGGATTTAAATAAGAGCCTTCATTTTTCAATGATTTGATGCTTAATAATGCTTCTTTGCCTAAAAACAAGTTTAAAATATATTAATTCTGCATACTTTACTTGAGCATCCATCAGACGATAAATGAATTACAAAGTTATGCTCATGAATCAAAGGCCTATGGCATGACCAAAGCAGGGATAGTGATGATTGGTACATTAGGAAGCACTGGAAAAATGCTCATCATTCCACACCAGGCCATCTTCTCAACCAGACGTGTGCTGCTCTCTGCACCAGTAACCCTCAAGGAGCATCTGAATATGGCTTTGAAAGTCCTGCATGATCAGACCACTTTTTACATTGCTATCTCCAATTCTGAAAATTTGTAACCGCTCAGTGGGTTCACCTTGCCCACGGCCTAGAGAGAGGCTGTTTATTAAGACGGAAATTGCAATGGAGAAAGAGTAATTCACGCAGAGCTGGCAGTGTGGGAGACCGGAGTTGTATTATTATTCGAATCAGTCTCCAGGAGCATTCGAGGATCAGTTTTTAAAGATAATTTGGCAGGTAGGGGCTTGGGAAGTGGGGAGTGCTGATTGGTCAGGTTGGAGATGGAATCTCTCAGGGTTGAAGTGAGGTTTTCTTGCTGTTTTCTGTTCTGGGTAGGATGGCAGAGCAAGTTGAGCCAGATTACTGATCTGGGTGGTGTCAGCTGATCCATCCAGTGCAGAGTCTGCAAAATATTTCAAGCACTGATCTTAGGTTTTACAATAGTGTTGTTATCCCCAGAAGCAATTTGGGGAGATTCAGACACCTGGAGCCAGAGGCTGCATGACCCCTAAATTTTAATTTCTAAACTTGTAGCTAATGTGTTAGTCCTGCAAAGGCAGACTGGACCCCAGGCAAGAAGTGGGTCTTTTCAGGAAAGGGCTATTATCAATTTTTTTTCAGAGTCAAACGATGAACTGAATTCCTGCCCAAATTTAGTTCCGCCTATGCCCAGGAAGAAACAAGGACAGCGTGAATGTTAGAAGCAAGATGGAGTCCATTGGGTGTGACTTCTTTCACTGTCACAATTCCCTCAGTTATAATTTTTGCCAAGTTGGTTTCAATTTTGCTCCCCTAAAATCATATTTAACTTATAATAAATAATTCCTAGGGCTGGGAGCGGTGGCTCATGCCTGTAATCCCAGCACTTTGGGAGGCCAAGGCAGGTGGATCACAAGGTCAGGAGTTCAAGAGCAGACTGACCAACATGCTGAAACCCCATTTCTACTAAAAATACAAAAATTAGCTGGGCGTAGTGGCACATGCCTGTAATCCCAGCTACTCAGGAGGCTGAGGCAGGAGAATCGCTTGAACCTGGGAGGTGGAGATTGCAGTGAGCTGAGGTTGTACCACTGTACTCCAGCCTGGGTGGCAGAGAAAGACTCCTTCTCAATAATAATAATAATAATAATTCCTAGGTTACCAACTCTTCTTTCTTGCCTCTGTATCCTAATTGCTTCTCTCTTCTATGCCTCAGCCATGTGAGTCTCCACAGATTTGAGACCTGTACCACAAGTGGTATAAGAACAATGTTAGACTGATGCTCAGACAGAGCTTTGAAAATCATCTCACAATGTTAGAAAGGTTCATCTTCTAATCAACCAGATTACATCAGTGAGAAAGTCTCACTTTCATATTAAGTGAATTTGTTTGCTTAACACTATGATTACTAATATTTTCTTTTAGTGCGCAAGAGGAGGTCTTAGGCTCACAGCCATCTGCAGACGGCAGTAATTAACTGAGGTTTAATTACATGTTTGTGTTAACATACTTATTATCACAAAATACCTTCTGCTCACAAAACATGGTTTTGATTTTCTTCTTATGGAAATGACGTAAAATTGTCTTTCAAAATAATTTTAATTTAAAAAAATTATTTGATAAAAAATAACTAGTCAGTAAATAATAATATTGAATGAAGATAAATTTGATAAAAGTCACAAACTTGATTGGCATATAAGTAAAGTTTTAGAAATCCTGACCTAGAAAATTCTCCCCAACATTCTTTATCTTCAGTCCTCATTTGAAATATCACATTTATGAGAAAGACATCTTTAAGCCCCTCTAGAACCTCATCCTATTGCCTCTTTTTCTGTCCCTGTGTTCCTCAATCCTTCTATCAAAAGATTTATCCCCTTTTATTAAAGTTGCCTATTTACTTCTCTTAATGCCCTATATAAAACTCTTTAAAGACATGTCATTCAAAATGTCATGTGATAAGTAAATATTTGTTAAGTCAATAAATCTGGAACCTGGATGAACAAGCATTGGGACTGTTAAAAGAGCATAATTATTATGATTTCGTTTTATAAAACAGGAACTTGAATTGTTGCTCTTTTGTTTCTTGTTTTTTGTTTTTGTTTTGTTTTTTCAAGCCTTGGTTTTCTTCATCTTAAAAAAAAAAACCTCCAATCGATCACAAGGTAAAAAATTTATAATTCTTGACCCCCTGGACAGTGGACATAAAAACAGCAGCTAATACCAGACTTTACCCACCATGTAGAAGAGGGATCACATTAGCGATAGATTAACAGCCTGAGATTTTATTTAATACCAGCTCTAGCTTTGATTGGAACTGACTTAGCAGGAGTTCTCTCATTCTCTTATACATGTGGTTGGGACTGAGGTAGAAAGGCAGTCGCTGTGTTGATAATGAGTCTGAGTCTTTGCAATTGTTGATGCTGTCTTGTTGAACACCAGACATGTTAGACACCCACAAAAGGGGACCTGATCTAAGGTGGGTGTGATTGTGAACAGAAACTTACAAGATTTAAAATTTCATAATCTTAAATTCATAACTTCATAAATCTTGTGATTAGAAATGAATGGCAGAGTTTTAAGAAATCTCTAATTTGTAATGGAGTGTGATGGATGTTGAGAGAGTCAGCCTTAGCCATTGCACCTAGAGAATATCTGTTACTGAAGAGATGACAACTCATCAGTTAGTCAGTAATTGAGAATTTGATTAGCCAATCAATAATTTACTACCTTCACTGTCCATAAAATATTTCACTGCAAGATTTTTTTTTTTTTTTTTTTTTTTTTTTTTGAGACGGAGTCTCGCTCTGTCGCCCAGGCTGGAGTGCAGTGGCGCGATCTCGGCTCACTGCAAGCTCCGCCTCCCGGGTTCACGCCATTCTCCTGCCTCAGCCTCCCGAGTAGCTGGGACTACAGGCGCCCGCTACCACGCCCGGCTAATTTTTTGTATTTTTAGTAGAGACGGGGTTTCACCTTGTTAGCCAGGATGGTCTCGATCTCCTGACCTCGTGATCCGCCCGCCTCGGCCTCCCAAAGTGCTGGGATTACAGGCGTGAGCCACCGCGCCCGGCCTGCAAGATTTTAAATGAATTTTAAAATTACTCATGTTAATTAAATTTCTTTCTTAGTCAGTGCCTGTGAAATCATAATATTCGTTTATTGCAGCAAACTAAGAGCTATTTAAAGAGAAAGACCATTGCACAGAAAAAAAAGTTACATATTGTGTGCTTAATTTATGTGACATTGTACCATATAAATCAAGTTACATTTTGCCACATAATATACTTCTTAATGAAGAAACAGATAACCCTCACAAATTGTGTTTTTATCCTCTGGGCATATAAAATTTTAAAAAGGGGGCATCTGGATATTATTTTAACTAGCTCAATTTGTCACTTATGGGAATCGCTATGTTGTATGAATATACCAAAGTTGTACTTGTTAAGACCTTCATGTACACATTGTCTAATTATACATATTAACATATACTGTTTAGAAATTATAAACAAAAATGGAGCAAACCTGGAAATGATGTATGATTCTGTATAAATTTAGAGATAAGTGGAGAGGGCTGCATTCTTTCATTCATTCAACCGATATTTAATAATCAACCTATGTGACATGCACTGTACTCTATTCCCTTTAGAGGTCACTGTCCCTTTACAGGTTTTATTTTCACTTTTTAAAAAATTAGTGGGGCTCGATTTTTCATACTCATTTTGGAAAATATGGACTCTCAGATGTTGCTGTACTAAGGACTACTAGCTGTCCCTTCCTTCCAGGTGCTCATCTAGGCTTTATTTCCCACCCTCCCTTGAATTTCACCTCGATTCCATGAAAAAAAAAAATCTTATGTGTTCTTAATCACTATACATTTGGGGTGCTGTCTGTCAGAGCAGTTTAGCCTCCCTCAATTACTATAGCTACCAGAAGCCTATTTGGGAGATTGTATAATACCACAGTGAAGCATATAGACTCAAACATAAACAGCATGGTCTTGACCATAATTCTTCCAATTATGGACCATTACATAATTTCTCCAAGTCTAACTTTCCTCACCATAAAATGAGGCTAATAATAATAACCAGAGCCAGGTGCAATGGCTCACACCTGTCATCCCAGTGACTCAGAAGGCTGAGGCAGAAGGGTTAAGTGAGCCCAGGAGTTGGAGGCTGTAGTGAGCTATGATCACGCCAATGCACTCCAGCCTAGGCAACAGAATGAGACCTCATCTAAATAAAAAAAAAAAATTAAATATTAACAATAATAATAACCACCATATATGGTTGTTGGGAAGATAAAAGATGTGTGTGTGAGTGTATATATATATATATGGATTAAACTAGGCTCTGGTAAATAATAACTATTCAATTCAGGAGCCTGGCTACTTTTGTCATTATTCCTCTGAGGATCCTTTAGGATCTGAGAAGAAAACATAGATGGACTCATGGTCAAACAAAATGGGAAGTGAAAAATTTCATAATCTTGGATAGGCTGGCTGGAGGAGGTGGGACATGTGACCGGCATAAGATCAGGAGCTTGCCCTCTGTTGGGAAAGTTGACAATCACACCAGCCTCCTTACTAGATGCTGTACAATTCTCTACTCAGTGAGGATCCTCTTATTTCAAAGATTATCTGACACGTACTTTCTCACAGGGGATAAACTCACCACAGCTACCTGATGAGATACAGTTGTTCTGAAGGAGGTAATACAAATAGCAGCTGATAGAAAAAAACAACAACAACAAAAACAAAACAAAACCTAAAAGGGCCTCTAGGGCAGAGGGCCTGGCAGCAGCAAAATTATGTAAAGAAAACATTTGAAACCCAGAATCCCGCAAGGAAAGGAGAGGAATTGGTATCTTCAGGATTCCCAGGAGTGCAGAAAGTACAGCATCAGCAACCCATGCCATTTCTTCCCCTGTCCTATCAGGGTAAAGAGACTGGAGATATAGTTACAGGAAGGATGCAACATGTGTGAAAATCATTGTACTCATTTTAACTAATCAGAGAAGTGTGCAATCGTGGATATGATATTATCCACTACTGCCATGTCAGCTATAATGATAAGGAAGGGGAACTTTTTATATCTATCTTGAGATAAATGGTGGACTGCCTTATAATAATTACATCAATGTATTCAACACAGCTCCTCAAAAAGAACCTTTGGCCCATAAAATACATATGTTCTTATTGTGCTTTCACTTATTAATTTTTACATAAAGAAGCAAAGCACTTTAATGCAATTTCTATTAACCATTTTGACAGCAGTTATCTGAGCCATTCTGGTTCAAGAAAGTCAAATGAATTTTTTATGTTTCCTGTTTCAATTTGACTAAAATTATTTTAAGTGTTCCTAATGAATATCTTCCTGACTATTTAGATCTTATCCTGATGGATTTTTCTTGTAAGATCTAGGAAACCTTTTAGATCCATGTTAGAGAAGAATGAGAAGAACACAGGTAAATAGGAAGTTCTAAGAAACTCTGGATTGGGAGAAAGTAGCCTTTTAATTCAGTTTTAGCCCTACACTCACACACATGGTTAGGGCTATGGCACCACACATTGGCTTTGATGTGCACAATTTCAAAAGGGTGGGCAAAGGATATATTACTTAATTAAATGCCCAACGGCATTTAATTTCCTTTTGAGGAACTGCTCTCGTTTCATCTGATGGGGATGTCAATTACATGGGGTGATCAGAATCAGCCCTGAGATTTTGTTTAAACCCTCAGAAAGGAGTCCTCCTACTCCTCTGAGACATATAGTTGTAATGACTGTGTGTGCTAAGAGATCCTTCTAGCAACCTTTGCCTTAAGATGAGTTCACTACAGAGGAAAGCAGAGTCAAAAGATAAAGAAAGGAAAATGGTGTCTCCATGAAACAATTTGACCTCCTGGATGTCCTTGTATCTAATGTATCTATGGTTTTGGTCATATCAATGGTTCTCACAGCCACTGTGGTCTTGGAAACAGTAGGAGCAGCTGCTGTATCACTTAGGAACTTGTTAGAAATATAAATTGTCAGGCCCCATCCAAAACCTACTGCATCACACTCCCTGGAGCTGGGGCCTAGAGAGTGTTTAAAGAAGCTCTCCAGGGGACTTTGATGCTTGCTAAGGTTTGAGCTCCACTGGGTTACATAAATTATTGTAAATTATTGTGCTTCATTTGTTTGTTTAACTCTTATATATAAAAATAAATTCTTTTTTATACAAGAATTTATAAAAATAAATTATTTTTATATACATGAGATTAAATAAGAATAAAAAATAGCTCTTACCACGTTATTTTTTACTATATTATTCAATTATTCATTGAATTATTCATTTACTAATTCATTCAACAGAATTTACTAAGCACTTAGTCCCTATACTATGTAGTCTCCAGATGCTGAGAATGAGAAATAAATGAGAGACTTTATAACTTCAAAAAATTTGCAGAATAAACCATAGCTAGGGATAATAAATATATGAGCTGCCATTCCTCAGCACTCATGATATTTCCTCCTAAATACATTATCATCTTAATCCTTCCCAATAAAGTACTTCAGGGAAGCAATACTCATTCAACAGAATTCAGTCAATATTTTATATGAGCCATCACTTGCATTGAGAAAAATATTAACAAATATTTTTCTTTATTATAGTATAGAATATAAATTATATTTGGATATAAAGTGGTTTGAGATGCAGATAAAAGGTGTCATTTAACTGTGAGACAATAAATTTTTGGTTGATATTCTTGAAACAATATACTTTACATTCTATTACACACACACATACACACACACACACATATATATATACATACACATATATCCATATAATTTGAATAGTTCTCCATTTAGAATTGGATTTAATTTACTTTGGATGGATTTGATATAGAACATGATGTCAATTATTCAAATATGGATATTGATGACAAAGAGAATGACTCTTTGCACGTGTCCTCTGCAACCACACTGTACTCCAAGTTGTCAATGAATATACAATGTGATGAAAGTTCTCATATAAATCCACTTGGGAGTAGCAGGATGAAGGTACAGATTATTATGTCTTGTAAATCATGTTAAGATCTGTAAGGAAGTGTAGATGTTAAGAAGATAACCATTGGGTATTTTTCATCAAGGAAATGGGAAATGTGGGTGGGACATAATGACTATGATTCAATTCGTATTTGGAAAAGACCATTCTGGCAGCAGCATAAACAGATTGATAGGGATCAAAGTCAAGGCTAATAGAACAGTTAAGTGGCTCTATCTGCTAATTGAAGGAAAAAATAAATGGAAAAGTGAATGAATAAGTGAATGATGAATAAATGGAAATCAAGTTCTACTTTTTATTAGATTTCTTTGTGTTTGTGTACGGAGGCGGTGGAGTGGGAGCATTTTGACCTATAATCTTTTAAGCATGCAAGGTTTATAGCTCTACTTTCTCCATTATTCAAGGTCAGCGCAGTGGTATGCCACAGTTTCCACTAGCACTTTTAATTCAGTGGTTCTTGAGAAACCAGAAGGGAGCTGAAGGGTAAAGATGCAAAGCACTACCACCAGAGCACGTAACAGGATCTCTTAATTCCCCTCATGATTTTCTATTCTAGCTACTCGAGAGGAGAGACAGGAAAAGGCAACAACTATAACAATAGTCTGTCCAGAAATAAAACTGTGTTCTAGTTCTTAGGTACCCGAGGGAGAAGAGAAGGCAGCATAGCATAACAGTATGCCAACTAAACAAGAAGGCCATAGGAGTCAAACAAGGGCCAATTACATAGTCAATTTCATTTGTATTTCCTCTGGAAATGATATGAAATGGCATTGACAGGGTAATCCTATCTCAGATTGCTGGCCAATCCCTGGGCATTGTGTTTAGTTCTGAGTTTTCTGCCTCCATATCACCTCTTATAAATGAGTGACTGTTGATAGCTATGGGATTTTCTTCTGGGGTGATGGAAATGTTCTAGAATTACATAGCAGTGATGATTGCATGACATTGTAAACATGCTAAATGTCTCTCAAATGGACACTGTAAAATGATTTAAATGGTAAATTTTATGTATATTCTACCACACAAAAAAAATAAAACTATAAAAAAGAATGTCATCAGGTTTTTAACACCCAAACCTAAGGGTCTGAGCTACCCCGTGTGCATGCTCATAAGCTAGACTATCACAGTTTTATATATTCTCTATAAATATACACATACATGAAATCTCTTGATCTTTATGTTTAAGCGCCTACTAAGTACTACAAAGTAAAATAATTATTGAATGCCTCAGCTTCCTAAAACAAAATGCTCTGAGAGCCTCATCTCACCTGAAAATGCAGCGGGATTCACACCACAGAAGAAAAACTCCAAAATTTTTTAAAATTTAGAGTATATAAAAGCTGCTGGAATAATACATACGTTAATCTGCTTTAAGTATATTAACCATTTTACTATCTACATGTATCCCATAATATCATGTTGTAAACTTTAAATATACCCCAAAAAATTTATTTTTCAAAAAAGAAAGCACTCTATAAAATCCTAAAGAGATACCTATGTAAAGTGTGACTGCAGCGGAAGTGGAGTGTTATTGAGTTGGGTTTAAGTTTCACGGTCCATTAGCAATATTTTAGGGACCAGTCTTTCCTATCATGTGGAGCAGTGCTGGTGCTCTACAAAGAACATGTGCTCATGACTCAGAAGCCCCGTCCTGCTGAAAGGAGCATACAGTGAAGAAAGTGGTGTATGTTATCACTCAGGCTCTTTGAGAGCACAAAAATGGCCCATGCAGTTAACACTTAGGCCAGAAGTTTTCAAATGTTTCTTTTAATAACCACAAGGAAGAGAATTCCATAAACAAAGTTAAAGGACAAGCTGTTAGAGTAGGAGAAAATGCTTGCAACACACGCATGTAAATAAAGGGTAAGTATGCAGAATATATAATCATTACAGCTTTTTAAGAAAAATGAGAAAGTAATGTGAACAGGCTTTTTTTTTTCAAATTTGCAAATCTTTTTATTTTACAGCCTCGACTTTGAGTAATTCTTTTTTCCACCTTTATTTATGTATTTTTAATTGATAAATAATATTTATACATATTCTTGGTATACATAGTGATGTTTTGATACAAATAATGTATAGTGATCAAATAAGGGTAATTAGCATATCCATCAGATCAAGCACTTATCAATTTTTGTGTTAGAAACATAAACTATAAGAGGAAATATAACTGGTCAATTGATATGGTTTGGCTGTGTCCTCACCCAAATCTCATCTTGAATTCCCACATGTTGTGGGAAGGACCAGGTGGGAGGTGATTGAATCATGAGGGTAAGTCTTTCCTGTGCTGTTCTCCTGATAGTGAATAAGTCTCCTGAGATATGATGGTTTATAAAGAGGAGTTCTCCTGCACAAGTTCTCTCTCTTTGCCTGCTGCCATCCACGCAAGACGTGACTCCTTGTTGCCTTCCGCTATGATTGTGAGGCCTCCCGAACCATGTGCAATTGCCAGTCCATTAAACCTCTTTCTTTTGTAAATTGCCTGGCCTCAGATATGTCTTTATCAGCAGCGTGAAAACAGACTAATACAGTAAATATATGCAATGAGAAATGTGTACATTAAAATTTTAGAAAAGGAGAGAGAACTTATATTTTACCCTGGAACATAAACAAATCCTCTCTTGAAGAGAAGAAAAAGAGATCTCTATCCTGTAATGTAAGCAATTATCTCAGGGAAAATAAGAATGACCGTTCTAGACTCCATTACCCTTACTATGTGAGTAAATGGCTCTTAGGGAAAAGGTATTCTCCATGTTTAGATATTCACTATCTTTATACCCTGTCAATTTCCATTGTTTACAAAGCTAAGCCATCCAGTAATACAGAAAAAAAAAAAAAAACACTGTCCTATAAAAGAAAAGGTCTAAAGTGTCATTTTGGTTTCTTTCTACGTTTCTCTCTTCTGTTCTGACACTTCTAGAGAACTCATCTTGTAGGACCGCTTGATCTTTGAACATAAGTTTATCTTTTGGGCAACTATGTGCTAGGCCTCTGTGATAGCTAGACCATGGAAAGAACAGAGTCTATTGTAGAATTATGGTCATGTGTTGCATAACGACATTTCTGTCAACAAAGGACCACCTACACAATGATAGCCCCATAAGATAATAATGTTACATTTTTACTGTACCCTATGTTTAGATATGTTTAGATACACAAATACTTACCATTAAGTCACAATTACTTACAGGAGTCAGTATGGTATGCTGTTCAGGCTTATAGCCTAGGAGGAATAGGCTATATCATTTAGGCTAGGTGTGTAAGCTATGCCATGTAGGTTTGTGTAATTATACTCTATGCTGTTTGCACAACAATTACATTACCTAACAGTAGACACATTTCTCAGAATGTATCCCCACCATTAAGCAATGCATGACTGTATAGACATATAATAGTATTGAACATACAGGTAAGTAGTATTTAGTAACTTCTAGTATTTCATAAAAAGACAAAAAATATTTAGTAGCTTATAGAGATAACCGCTATAATATGAAATTAATTTCTAATACTATGTCAAATTTACTCCATTCCTTTGCTTCATTTTGACGTAAATATATTATTATTTAATTGAATGTAGTTGTTATTTTTCCTTAAACTCTTATTTCCATGCTCAGAATGTAACACAAAGACTTTTACAACTTTGCTTTGGAAATCTGGCCAATATATTTGGCTTTGAAATGTATGACCCAAAATGTAAATTTCATCAGAGCTCTGAATTAGTCAATTTTTATTGTAAAGAGTGAAGAGTGACATTGTACTAGTAAAAAAAAATAGTTAACAGAGTACTTGGCTGAAAAGAACTACTTGTTTTTCAATCAGTCACATCTCTTCTCATATGCTCTGTTAAAATGGAGGTAGTGCCTGATTAAAAAGTTGAGGTTAGAATTACAGGACAAATGTATAGAATTCAGAATTGGGATGCTGGACTTATGACTGCTTCTCAGAGTATTTGTGTGTTTCTATGCTATTGCCTTTACCCAGGAGGGAAGCTGGAAATCTTTATGAGCTCTGTCAGCCAGAAGCAGGGAGACCTGATGCCTTGGCATGGGCTCAGGACTTGAATGATGATGCTTCCCATTCATCTGATCCCCATTTATTCCATACAAATGTTAGACTTCTTTAACATGGAAAAAAGAAAAGGATTTCCAGGATCCAAAATAGCAGAGTTCCATTAATCCAGGTTCAATTCCTGAGCCAGATGTGCCTTTTCTCTAAATAAGTGAATAACCTTATTAACATGATGGAAAAGGGACATAGATTGTCAAGGATAATGCAAAGCTTGCACATGACAAGAGAGCAGACCAATTAGGATGATTTAGTCTAGATAGAAAGAGGTGAGAAGGGCCTTGATTGAAGTGTGCAGAATTATGATATGTATAATAAGAATGTCTCACATTCCACTTGCTGGTCTATAATCATAGATTCATACAATATTAGCAATTTGTAATAGCAAAGTGCTTCTAGGTCATTTATTAGCTCTTCTCATAACATTAACCTTTTTCCTACCTTAAGGACATGGGAAATGATAGTGAACATTCTAGTGATCTTCAAAATAAGACTGGACAGGTATTGTGAGGGAGGGAATGGGAATGTTTTTAGAGGGAAAAGAACTTACACATATTAAGTACATATTTTATCCCAAGCAAAATGCTTTGTGGTCTGTATGGGATCTCACTTAATCCTCACAATTTTCTTACAGATGGGAATGAGAAAAATAATGTTTTCAGATGAAATTTATAATTTCCCAAAGTAAGGAATGAAATTAGCCAAGGACCATCAAATAATTATATAGGAGAAATCAAGTTGCAACCTTGGTCAGTTTGACTGCATATCAGATCTAGGACACTTTGCACTCAATATTAATAATTTACCTGTGGCTCAGGCTTCAGATTGGTGTTCCTACATAGTATTAGGTTCAGTAGCCCAGACTGAATATTACCCAGTCATTTGGAGATTTAACAATATTCCTTTCATAAATGAGGTTCAGCCTTGATGAATAGATTAGAAAGTGACCCTGATTATGATTTCTGCTAAGTGGTACACAAGGTATGCATGTAAATCTTACCTCCTTCATAGACAGTACTGTGCCAATATTCCTGGAGAAGGTATGTAGACTGGGCATTGGGACCTATAAGCAATACTCAAAGCTATAAAATGATTACACACACATCCTACGCACATACACCCACACACACAGGGTAGGTTCAGAAGTTATCCTGTAAGTGCTTTTTATGGAAATTCTGCGATGGCAAAGGCCAACTTACTAGTAACTTCATAGTATCAAAGCTTAATATCATAGAGAGGTAGTATAAGATAGTGGTTAAGGCAGATGGATAAAAGTCAAAAATCCTGATTCAATTATTTCTCATCTATGAAATAATAATGCATAATTTAAGTTTGTTGTGAGGCTCAAGGGAATATTGTTTATTGATTACCGAAAACAAGATAAGTAATAAAAAATATTACTTCTGCTCATCATGATAATTTATAGATGAGGAAACATAAACAGCAGTTAAATTAGATAATCTCAAGCCAATCAGTTATTAAGAAAAGCCCAAACCATATTTAACTCTATCCTCATGAATATTCACACATCATAGGTGGTAGCTCTAGGGCCTAGGGCAACAGGGACAGTAAATGGCATTGTGTCAAATATGGAAGCCATTTAGCCAAGTAACTATTAATATTAACTTCCCAATTTACAAGTAAAGAAACTAAGGCTGAGTCTAATTCTAAACTCTCCAAAGGAAAATAGGTAATGATTGGTGAAGGCCCATCTTCTGCCACCAGGGTTAAATACGCAGTTTTATTCTAAGTGTAGGAAGTGAGCAGAGACAGTGTCTTAATTATCTCAACATTTCCATTTGAACAAATATATGTTAATGTTCTTATAATGAATTGTATATCACATAGAATGAATTCATCGTATTAGATCACAATAAATACTTGTTTAATGATACATAAGTGAAGAAATATGATGTTTTAATAGAATATTACCCTAGAATGATATATTGTGTCTGAATAGTCTAAAAAAATAAAAGTGTTCCATATTACAGAAATAGAATATCTGTTTTGTGTCTGGAACTCAGTGAAGCTCATGGGATGCATATATTAAGAAGGTATGTTTCATATAGTAAGATATCCAATACTGCTCATTTCACTGCCTCCATTGTTGCTGCCTATACATGTTCTGAGTTTGGAAACTTTCACAAAAATCCTCAAAATATTAATTTCAGTCAGCAGCCTTTTGAATACAGTAAACTGAACTGAAATTTCACAGAAATGTAAATCAAACATTCCACATTCATATAGCCCAAACCACATTAAAGACCCAAGCATTAATGTTAAGGATCTTTAGACATAGATGTCCAAAGACTCCATGATACAAGCAAGGGACACCAAGAAGTAGAAAACTTTGAAGGCCACTGAGTTCAGAGATCTGTATAAACTGAGATCCTGCTGAGAGTGGACTCTAGAAACATTTCCTGTGGAAATGGAAAAAGTTCTGGATCTAAATACATGGGTGGGCTGAATTGCATCCAGCCTTGAAGACCTAATCGATTAACGTTGGCTAATTATTTAAACTCTGATTTTTCACCTGCAAAATGGAATAATTACACCTGGTTTGGAAAGTCATTATGGGACGAAATTTTAAAAGCATATGGGATAATAAATCAATATTTTTTCCACTCTCTTCTCTCGGCTTGCTTTTCTCTCAGCTTGCTTTTCTTGTAGCTACTTCTTTTCCTCCTTTATATTTTGGCTTCAAAGAAACCCCTAAAAAAAACCTTTCCTGATCTTTTTCCTAAGAGGATGTCACTATTAGGCCTGAGTATTACACCATATGTTTTTCTTATAGCCCTGCTCAAATTTCATAATTACATAATATTATGATTTCTTCACATTTTGATTTTTCTCCTACAAGACTATAAGGTCTGTAAGGGGCAAAGACCACATCTGTTAATGTAATGAAAGACATTTAGCCAAATAACTATTAATGTGATTTTAGCATCCAGCACTTTTCTTTGTATATATGTGTCCAGTATTTGTCAAATGAAAAAAATATGTGTAAGTAAATAGGCTTTTAAAGAAGAAAACAGAAAAAGAAACTTCACCTGAGTTGCTAGCAAAATAAATTATTTTTCATAGTTAATAGTGGAAGGAAAGGGGCAAAGTGTAAGTCAAGATGTAGAAAAAAGGCTCTTTCCCATGAATAATGCTATTTTCATACAACATAAACATCATTGAAATAATCATATTGAGTCTAAATTGGTTATTTTACAAATAGATGCTCCATTGGGATAGGTGCAGTAGCTCACGCCTGTAATCCCCACACTTTGGGAGGCCAAGGCAGGCAGATCACAAGGCCAGGAGTTCAAGACCAGCCTGGTCAATATGATGAAACCCTGTCTCTACAAAAAATATAAAAATTAGCCAGTTGTAGCGGCGTGCACATGTAGTCCCAGCTACTCAGGAGGCTGAGGCAGAAGAATCGCTTGAACTCAGGAGGTGGAGGTTGCAGTGAGCCGAGATCATGCCACTGCACTCCAGCCTGGGCGATAGAGTAAGACTCTTTAAAAAAAAAAAAAAAAAAGTGGCTCCATTAAAGAAAAGGTTATAGAATGCTTGATATCAATCAATGCAATTAGTTTATCACCTCTGTGTCTGAAACAATGTCTAAGGATGAAGAAGTTAAAGCAACTAGCCTACAATCTATTTGCTCTCTTTATTAGGGGAAGAATCCCAGGAGAAGGAAAAGAAAGACAGGTGACCCAATCTAATACACTTGACGGCATAATAACTGGACTTATGAGCAAACAGACTAATAATATTTGTTAGGAAAAGAGTTTTCATCTACTAAATAAGGGTGTCTCTGGTTAAAGATTCCTTGTAATAGGAAAAGAGAGAAGAAAAAGAGGGAAGGGCAGGAGGAGAAGGAAGAGGCAAGCAGAGGGAGAGAGGAGTGGAGAAGGAATTAAAGGAGGGCAAGGAGAAAGAAAGAATCATCATTTATGGATTTATGAAGACTGTCCCCCTGAACAATGTCAGATAAGCCCAGGTATAAAATGGAGATGATTCATAGACTGAATTCTTTCTTCTGTGTCAGGTAATACCCCCTATAACTATCTATCTTAGAAACCTTAACCATTCTTGGTCAGAAAGCATGTATACAGTGCAGGAAAAGAAAAACAAAAAAGACCCAAGGAGTTACCTTGATTTTTTAGACCTCTATCTGCTTCTTTTGAGCCTCTTGATTGCCTGCATTCTTAAAATTACTAGTAAGATTACTGTAGGGTAAGATTTCTTATTCATATGTGTCTGATTTGACAACATAATGTTTCCTGTTACCTCACCATCTTTGACCTTCTGCTACCTAAGCACCTTGCAGCAAGAGGCGTCCATGTTAATAACTCTATCCAAGAATATGTTAAAAACAAAACAAAATAAATCTTCCGGGTAAGAATTGCAGAAAACATTTTGCTTTCCTGAAGGAATGAAACACACTACCTGTAAAGCATCTGTGTTCCTGTCTTTATCTCTTCCTATAGGGCAGATATGATCCCTACAGAAGCAGGTGGTGGTCTGTGACAATAAAGAAACAGAGAATTAATAAATGAGCACTAGTCTTGATATATAGAAACTACTGGAATAATGCCATCAACCATGAAGCTCTAGACTTATTATTTAAGACAAGCAAGCCTCTATTGCCATCTTACACTTTCTTGCATCCAGCTGGCAGCATTCCTAAATTATAGAGTCCTACTCAAATGGCTTGAAACATCCCAGTTAATGTTTCAGAAGCTTAAATAAATTCAAAAGTGTTATAGATACAAATTCTCAATAAACCCATGTGATTATTCAGAAACTGTCAAGATAATCCACGTGTCGATAATGAAAGACACACTTGCAAATGAATCAGTGATTTCCTTCATTCTGTATTTCAACATCTTTACCCAGTACTTAATCCACACAGTTCCCTCTGTAAGGAATCTCTGTGGGATTCTCACCCTGACAAGTTCAGGAAATGAAAAAGCTCTTAGAGAGACCTCTTATTACCTGTTGATCTTCACATTAAACATACTTCACAGTATGAGACCATGCTTTTCATTTAAAATTTACTTTTTGTTCCATAACAGCTTGGAAATCCGCAGTGTCATCAGGTAACTAACTCCATTTCTTTTTTACCTCATCACCTAATTTCATTTCATTCTGTGAGTCTGGAATCAGAAAATTTGAATTTGATTCAATGTTGACTTAATAAATATAATTTTACTTCATATTTAAATGTGTAGAAAGGAATTCCTACCTCACTGTTGTTATGAAGTTTAAAAGAAACCATCCATTTACAGAGTGTTCCTTATTCTTTTGTGCTTATAGAGATAAATGCAAGCTTGTGGCCAAATTAACGACTGTTGAACTGTGATTAGTGCTTACCTCTACTTCTGTTCACTCAAATGAGAAAAGGGGAAAGGCCATCAAATGAGAGAAGCTTCGGCAGAATTCCATTAATTTGTAAGTAACAGAATCAAAAGAGAAACATAAATGGCATTCCCAAGTGGCTTTGTCATTATCTTCTCAGAAGTGAGGAAGGCACATTGTCTATTGTAGTGGGCAACATTTATATGAAAGTGAGGGCGTCTAAGGGGCAGGCATAATATTGCTTTCTGCCTGGCTATATTGACTCCAGGTTCTCTGTAGTGGAGAGCTCCATCCCACAGTCACTGAAACTTCCTGAGACCACAGTTACGTAATTGCAGAAGTGGCCACTGGGGCTGTTATCTAGGGGTGATGATTACACATAGGATTTGTTCATAGACACTCAGAAATGCACTTCCACCACATATGGGAGTATAGTACAAATATCACAGCACAAAGGGATCACATTTTTTAAAAGAAACTGAAAATAATTTTTGCTTTCTGAATCCCTGGGTTTGTGGAAGCTTTGAGTGACAAGAGATCTAGAGGTCATCAATTCAAATGTCTTCATTTCACAATTAAAAAAGGAAGCATTGAATGAGAGAAAGTAATCACATAAATCACACAGTAGCTAACAGTCAGGAGAAGAACCTAGGTCTCCTAATCTGCTGTATATTTGTTTCACTTTCTTCCTTATCATTGTGTTATAGTATTTTCCCTGTCTAGGTGAGTGGTAAAACTACATATAAATGCTGGAGGCAAGAATAGACCATATCGTATACTTCTGGAGCAAGTAAATAATGTTTAAAAAATTACCTTTATGAAATGGCTTTGGAGGAGGGATGGAAAATAGAGAACTTGAATTTTTTTAGTATCATAAATTTAATATCTGGTCTTTCAGTGGTAAGTCCCTAGGAATGCTTCATACCACTGAGCTGCTAGCCTACTGTCACCCTCACTTTGTGTGTTCTCATAGCTTAGATTTAGCTTTGATTTTCTGAGCTTATTCTAGTTTATCTGCAGTGACAGCAGACTGCCTGATTGATCTGGGTGCTAACCCCCATCTAACCTTTGTCACACTTCACTCAACATTCCTGAACCCCTGGATGATCTGATTGACAAACTTCTAGAATCACCTAGACATTAGTTGCCCCATTTGACTTACTATGAGCTCTGCTATGAATGGAAGGAATATAGTCATAAAAAGGCATGAAGATCACAAGTTTTGTGGAAGGTTTGAATTGACCTCACCTGAATTGACCTCAAATTTATCAATGTATATTAGATGTTATAAATTGATCCATGCTGGTTTCACAACCTGGATCTTCATTTGAGCACCTGTTACCCATCCCTGGCCTAATTAATCTACTCTCCATCAGAACGTTGCTGAAGTCTTACTATGGTCCACACCCTCTAGAGTGCTAAGTAGCGATAATACTGAATAAAATTGTGTACTATCAAGGTTGCTTTATAATTCTTTTAAATAAATCTAATATGTGTTGGGCGGGGAGAATAATTTGAAACAATGATCATCTTAATCAATTTCTCATCCTGGCCATAGCATTCCATCATATTTCATCCATACTTATGAAGGGATTCTGATGATAACCTAAAGGGTTATGATTGTTAGCTATTTTCCTAATATCTAGTCTCCTCTTATTTCTTAATAAGAGGGCTATGATTTATTAAAGGCAATGAGGTGCTCAAGAAAAAGATTGCATTTTCTAGTCCCCATTGTAGTTAGGCATAACAATGTGCCTAAATTCTGGTCAATGAGATATAAAAGGATAGAGAAAAGCTCTAACTTGAGAAAGATTTCATAAGAGGAAAGAGAAACTGAGATGGGCTGCTTTTATTCTTGGCAGATAATAGAGATGCATGATATATACACACACAGACTTCTGGAAGACAAACACAGAATGCAAAGGACAACAAATAAGAGAGTTTATCCAAGGCAGAAGATCATGATGACAAACTTTCAGCGAAGAAGAAACCCCTGCAGCCCAGGAACGATCTATACTGTCCTACAGAAGTCTATGAATAGTGCCATAGCAAGGGACTGGGAAAGTTTCCCAATCTCTCCTTTTCTGAATGTAGTTTCAAATATGGTACTTCTGTCTTCCTCTCTCAGCATTGTTTATTGAATGTGTTAGACGTTTTTCTCTTAGCTTATAGGTAACTGATTCAAAAGAAAAACTGTCTGGAAGTAGTGAAGAGGACTGCACAGATATGGAGGAGATTAAATTTTGAGGTTGTCCACATATGGAAAAAAAATATTTGCCCAAAGGAATAGACCATGGCCAAGATGGGCAGTCTACGATTTATTCTTTCCTCATACCTTGTTAATGAAACCCTGATCCCTGATGACCACAAATCCATCTTGCCATTCGTGGGGCTGCCCCACCTCAGACAATTTTTAGGTTAGGATGAAAGAAGCCACCTTTAACTTTGCTTTTGTTAACAGCAACTGCAACTATTTTCTTGCTGATATTGACCCTACTTTTGGTCTTCTTTTAAGATACAGCAAGTTTCCATATTCAATTGTACTCATGAATACATGAAATTAAGAACTTAATGATCATAGTGACCTGTGCAGTTTTACTTTTTAGCTTTCTGGTTTAAAATCCAGAGATATAGCTGTCCTTACTTTTATAAGCATTGCCAAAAGTATGCCAATTAATCTATTAAGTTATTAATCATGTAAAGATGTGAATTTGTGTCTACTTAAAATAGAGGAGTGAAATAGTAGGTGAATTCGGTTGGGTAAAATGATGTGCATACAACATTGGTGATTCAAATTTTGACTTCATCCTATAAAGAGCAAAGAACATAATATCAAGTTACTGGTATAAAACAGCTCTAAGCATTCATGTGATTATTTTTTCTAGCTTTGCTTTATACCCATGTAAGACAGCATCTATGAAACATGGGAATTAATAAAAGAGATGATAATTATCAATTATTAGGTGCATGCCATCTGCTAAATGCTTTTCTTTTTGGATTAGCACATTTTTCTTAGTTTGTTGTTCACATCCTCACATTATAGATTATTACATTGAGATTGAGAGATGAAATAACTGCCAAATTTTTCTACATCTTATAATTTTGAAGCTGGAATGAGAAGACAATGTTGTTTACTTTAAAGTCTGTATTCTTTCCCCTATATCAGAATTTCTATATAGCAGAGAGATTGTGATACATTGCTAAGACTTAATGTTAGACTGACACTTTTTGGATGAAGCAGGGACTAAAAATTAGAACTGCACTCTGAGGTGAAGCAGAAACCAGGAGATCAGCCATTCGTGCTGTGAGGAAGATGATTTTATCTAGCAGAGCCAAATATATGCAAGATGCTATTGGAAGAAATCTAATATGGCAGGAAAAGTTCTAAGATGGCCATCATGATCTTCACCCTTTGATGTTTCCCCCTGGGTAATTTATTCCCCTTGTGTCTGGGCAGAATTTTGTATTTGCTTCTAGCCAATAGGATATGGCAATGATGTGTAAGTGTCACTGCCTTTGTTAGGTAACATCACATAAAAAAGCTGAGGGAATATCAGTCTCATGATTATGCTCTGTTATATAAGATTCCATCTTAACAGACTGGAGCAAGAGACTCTCCTGCTGGCTACAAGAAGCCAGCTGCTGTGCTCTGAACTGCCTATGGGAGGGCCATGTGGCAGGGAACTGCAGGTGACTTCTAGGATCAGTGAGCCTTGTGCTATAGTTACAAGGAAATACATTCTGCCAACAACCTGAATTAGATTGGAAGCAGATATTTTCCCCCAGTCAAGCCTCCAGATGAGAACACAACCCAGCCCACACCTTCATTGCAACCTTGTAAGATCTTCAGCAGAGAATTGAGCTATGCTATACTTAGATTCCAGACCCATGGATGTCGTGAGATCATAGATTTGGATTGTTTGAAGGCACCAAGTCTGTGGTGATTACACAGCAATGGAAAACTAGTACAACTAATGAAGCAGCTGGCACAAAGGAGGCCAGGCCACTGTACCAGGGTAACATGACAAAAAGATGGCCCAAGACGAGACTTCTTTCCTGGAAGGACTGGGCTGCTGGAGAGCATATGAATAAATGACTCAGGAACAATCTAGGACTTGTGTTACCTGTCCTAGGGCACAACAACACATGGGTCTGGATTAATACATGAGCAAAGCAAGCCCTAAAATGAGCTGAACAATTATTCATTTGCTCAGAAATATTTATTGATGATATAACTGATGAGTGAATAAATGAACTATAAGAGAGATATGAAGAAATTGCCCAGAACTAGGCAAAGAAAGAGAAAATTATGGAAAATGTAGAAGAAAGATAAAAAGACACCTCTCACTCCAGACCTATGAAGCAGAAACTCAGGGGACGGACTACAGCAATCTGTGCTTTCCCAAGTCCTGCAGCCAATTTTGATGCACACTAGAGTTTGAGAAACACTAATAAAGACTAAGGTGAAAGGAAGACATTTTGCCTTAAGTGATGAGTTACCAAAAAATTGTCTTTTTTTATTATTTTATCTCTCATTATAATATAAAAAAGAAAAGAATGAAAGTTCATTAGGTATAACATAGAAAATATAAGCATATCAAAAATTTTACGTTAGAAGTAAAGAGAATAGGTTTTTAATGGAAGCACGTAAAAAGGAATATAAAAAATATTGAATTTTCACTTTGTTGTAATGTCATATGGCCATAAAATAATGAGATAATATATAAAACAACAATTTTTCCTTCTTATCTGTATAAGGAATAAAAGGCATTTTATTTTATAATAAATCTTTCTGTTTTAAAATATCACGGTTCTCTTGGGACCTGAAATTTTTCTTCTGCTGCTTTATTTGACACCGTAGTTAAATCACCCTATATTCTTTGACATGTGTCAGAATAACAAGCGATTGGAAACTTTCCAAAATGCAGGCATAATTAATGAATCCAACTGATACAATATGTAAAGTCAAAAGAGTAGATACTTCTTTCACACAGGCTAGTCCAACAAAATGTCAGATTTACTTTGTTTCAGTAGTTGCTTAATATCAAAGATCAAAAGTACATGACCTGTCAAATAACTTTTAAGTGCTGATTTTTATTTTGGCATACATTGAATAATTTTTACATTTTAAAGATGATCAGTTTTGTAGGTACACTTTAAAATCTTGAAATTAGGAGAAAAAGACTGGCAATAAAGTTAATCAAGTGTTGGAAAGTAAAAAACTAGAAAAACTTGCATCATTAAGTTCACCAAACTACTTTTATATAATTTGTGTAAATACTTTTTTAATATTAAAAATTGGGAGACTTTCCTTTGAAATTCTTTCTGTAGCATTAGGTATTTTAAATGACAGAAGCTTGTGCTCTTCCTAAGTCTTGCTTCATTTTGGAAACCAAATATTTTACAATTTCCTTAATGTAGACCACTTTTGAGAAAATAATTTTCTTGTGTGGTATTATGAACTGAATTGTGTCTCCACTAAATTCGTACACTGAAGCCCTAACCCCCAATGTGACTGTTTTTGGAGCTAGAGCCTTTAAGGAGGTAATTAAGGTTGCATGAGGTCATGAGAATGGAGCTCTGATCCGATGTGGTTTGTGTCATTATGAGAAGAAGAGGAGACAACAGGGCCCCTTCTCTTTCTGTGAGTGTGCAGAGAAAAGGCCATGCGAGGATACAGCAAGAAGGCACCCTCTGTTAGTCAAGGAGAGAAACCTTGGAATGAAAGCAATTCCGTTGACACCTTGATCTTGGACTTCCAGGCTCCAGAACTGTGAAAATATAAACTTTTGTTGTTTAAGCCACCCAGCTTGTGGTATTACGTTATGGCAGACCAAGCTCACTACCATATGTGGTCACACATTAATGTACTTAGAACAATGTCTAGTACAGAGATGGTGCTTAAAAGATATTTGTTGAATGAAAGAAAAAATACAGAGAATTTTTTCAATACTAATAGAGCCATAGAAGTCTTAACTTCTATCTCAAGGACATACTTATTATCTATAAACAACAATAATATAATAACATTATTATATTATAATTTAATTATTTATATTATAATAATATAATATAAATCCATAAACATTTAATAAATGCTTTTTATACTATTTTATAAACTGTACACATTTATTTTTGTGAGTGTGAACTATGTTTGTGTAATTATGAATCATAAACACAGTATGAAATCATTTCTATTGCACTGGAATTATAAGTAAAATAAAATAAAAGATTGCCCTTGGTATTCATTGACATCTAACTTTGGGTCTTAGTGCAACACTGTTCAAAGGGCTAGAACAGGTAGATACCTGATCCTTCAGGACAAAACCCTATTTTGCCTGTAAGAACACATGTAGGCCATTGGAGAACAAATGATTTAATATTCTGGTTTTTATACCAGATGCTATGCCAAGAACTTCCTCCTAGAACCCATGGCAAAACTAAACATCAGGACCCACATAATTGAAAAGAATCTGGGCAACATGAGGGAGCACATGAATAGTAGTTGAACAGTGAATGCATCTGCCGTATACTCAATCTTAGGTTCCAACTATTTTGTCAATCTCTAAATGCTGTATCAGAAATTTGCTCTGGAAAATATCTCAAGAAATAAAAACAAGAAATTAGATACTTACAAGATGCTTATAAGGAATAACATTGTAGAGGTCAGAAAAAAAAATCTTGAGGAAGTATGAAGTCATATGAATCACTGCAGGAATATCAGACCTGATAGTACTAAAGCAAGTGATTCCCTGGAAGATTTTGGAAAGCAGCTGAAAGGCCTTCTGTGTGCAACTGCCAAAGTCATGTGCCGGGCAAAGATGCTACAGGTGTAATAAGAATTCTGCCATCCTCCTACTTCCAAATCTTATGGCAGTCACTCTGACTGATGGAATGTAAATTAGAATTTACTAGCAAAAAATTCTGGGAAATGTGTTCTTCAGAATTTAAGCCAAATCTCTGAAGCACACACAAAAGTATAGAAGAGAACAGAGAACATTGCTAGTTGTTAAGTAGAAAATGAATGTGTGACTGAGTTTATGATTGCTTATAGTTCCATTTTGGCTTTGGCCTTTAAGAAATTTAGAAATTGCCTGTTTCTTAATTTTGTTTCCCATACTCTATGAATATGAATAAAACCTACTGTGCCTTAATAAGGAGAAGAATTTGTAGTATTTAAATTCATTTGTATCTAAAATGCTGTAATTGCAATAGTATAATACACTCTTCCCTTTGTCAATATTTAAAATTCTCATCTGTAAAATGCAAAGGTTCGATTTTGGGTAAAGCTCCTTTATTAGTCTGCATTGACAGCCTTCAGTATACACACACACAGACACACACACATACACACACAATAATTCCCTTTTCAAGACAAGTCCTGATGCTCAAATCTCTGAAGATGTTATAAAAATATAAATGGGATTTTAACTGCCTAATAAAATATTTATGATATTTGAATAGAATTTATATTACCTTTATTCTGAAGTCGTGTTTGAATTTAAGATGACAATTATAGTATTTTATGAGCAAGCAGTAATATGATGAAAATAACAATCTTTTCATTGTTAGAAATGCTATGATTTTATATTAAAAATTTTCTTGAACCATTAAAATAGTATGATGCTTATAATAAAAAAAACCCATTTATATGGCAACTAAAACTATAAAACAATTAGGAATTTACTTACAGAAATGCATGGGACCCATAGGAAGAAAATTTTAACATGCTACAGATCATAAGAAAACTTAATTGAAAAGTCTCTCTTCCTTTCGCTCTCACTTTCTCTCACTCTTTGTCTCTCTTTTAAAGAAACAAGAATAATATAATATTGTAACAATGCAGGCGATAAGCTGGCAAGTGGACAAGGAGTACCAATGGCTTGAAGGCCTAATTAGTGGAAAGCAACAGATAGTGGACTAGCTGGGAGTTTAGCTGGGAGTTCTGAGTGGTGAGACAGTTGTAGGGGGCTTGCTAATCTCCATGGAACCCTGTGTTGACTGAAGGCAGCGTGCTGGTGCAGCAGTTAATAGAAAGGGACCAGGCCAGCCACACATGCCTGATAACAAACACTGTATGCATGTATGGACAACATGTGAGAGAGAGTGATGGAAAGTAGAAGCTGCAGGAGACTTTAAAACGTTCATTCTGCTTACATTTGCTCCCCAGCTAACACATAGATCTGTAAGCATACTGGGAACTTTATTAGCTCAAGGTGTTTCAGCGCAACCTCCACCAAATTTTGGATTGATCGAAAGTTATGATGACCTTTGTAAAAGTAGACTTAAAACTTAAAAGTATACACACACACACACACACACACACACACCAGAGACCACTGATATTTAGAACTAAATTCCAGCCTGTGGAAGACAGACTTTATAGATTAAGTCTAGGCAAGTTATTAAATCACAAAACAATAGCAACAATAACAACCCAGAGGGGGGAGGATGTCAGAATTCAGAGTATTACAATAAATTAGCTAAAATATCCAGTACTCAATAAAAAATGAGGAGACATGAAAAGGAACTATCACCGGGACCCATAGAGAATAATTATCAAGAGAGACTGACTCTGAGTGTTTCCAGATGTTGGATTTAGATGACAAAATTCCATTGCAACTATTATAAAGAGGTTCAAAGAACTAATGAGACCATGTTTAATGATAGTATACAGAAAAAATTATAAATGGAATTCTCAAGGTGAAATTTGCACTATAATAACTGACATGAAAAATTCGTTAGAGGGGCTCAATAGCAGATTTGAAATATCAGAAGAATCAGTAAACTTGAAGACAGATTAAGAGAAATTATCCAATTATCAAGAAATGTAAAGACTATTGAAGACAAATGAACAGAAATTCAACAATTTGTGAAACATCGTTTTTTAATTACTACATCTGATATATATTTCATATGCATAATTCTGACATTTCTTAATCATGTTATATGATATATTCAGAAATGCTTTGTTAGTGATAACTGTATTTCCTTTTTTAAGTTTTTTTTAATATACTATAAGTTCTGAGGTACATGTGCAGAACGTGCAGGTTTGTTACATAGATACACATGTGCCATGTTGGTTTGCTGCACCCATCAACTCGTCATCTACATTAGGTATTTCTCCCAATGCTATCCCTCTCTAACTCCCACACCCTGCCAACAGGCCACAGTGTGTGATGTTCCCCTTCCTGTGTCCATGTGTTCTCATTGTTCAACTCCTATTTATAAGTGAGGACATGCAGTGTTTTGTTTTCTGTGCCTGCATCAGTTTGCTAAGAATGATGGTTTCCAGCTTCATCCATGTCTCTGCAAAGGACATGAACTCATCCTTTTTTATGGCTGCATAGTATTCCATGGTGTATATGTGCCACAGTTTCTTTATCCAGTCTGTCCTTGGTGGACATTTGGGTTGGTTCCAAGTCTTTGCTATTGTGAACAGTGCCACAATAAGCATACATGTGCATGTGTCTTTATAGTAGAATGATTTATAATCCTTTGGGTATATACCCAGTAATGAGATTGCTGAGTCAAATGGTATTTCTAGTTCTAGATCCTTGACGAATTGCCACACTGTCTTCCACAATGGTTGAAATAATTTACACTTCCACCAACGGTGTAAAAGCGTTCTTATTTCTCCACATCCTCTCCAGCATCTGTTGTTTCCCAACTTTTTAATGATCACCATTCTAACAGGCATGAGATGGTATCTCATTGTGGTTTTGATTTGTATTTTTCTAATGACCAGTGATGAATTTCTCTAATGACCAGTGAAGAAATGAGCATTTCTTCATATGTTTGTTGGCTGCATAAATGTCTTCTGTTGAGAAGTGTCTGTCCGTATCCTTTGCCCACTTTTTGATGTGGTTGTTTGTTTTTTCTTGTAAATTTGTTTAAGTTCTTTGTAGATTCTGGGTATTAGCCCTTTGTCAGATGAATAGATTGCAAAAATTTTCTCCCATTCTGTAGGTTATCTGTTCGCTCTGATGATAGTTTGTTATGCTGTGCAGAAGCTCTTTATTTTAATTATATCTCATTTGTCTATTTTGGTTTATGTTGCCATTGCTTTTTGTGATTTAGTCATGAAGTCTTTGCCTATGCCTATATCCTGAATGGTATTGCCTAGGTTTTCTTCTAGGGTTTTTATGGTTTTAGGTCTTATGTTTAAGTTTTTAATCCATCTTGAGTTAATTTTTGTATAAGGTGTAAGGAAGGAGTCCACTCTCAGCTTTCTGCATATGGCTAGCCAGTTTTCCCAACACCATTTATTAAATAGGGAATTCTTTCCCTATTGCTAGCTTTTGTCAGGTTTGTAAAAAATCAGATGGTTGTAGATGTGTGGTGTTATTTCTGAGGCCTCTGTTCTGTTCCATTGGTCTATATGCCTGTTTTGGTACCAGTACCACACAGTTTTTGTTACTGAGGACTAGCAATATAATTTGAAGTCAGGTAGCGTGATGCCTCCAGCTTTGTTTTTTTGTTTTGTTTTGTTTTTGCTTAGGATTGTCTTGGCTATGTGGGCTCTTTTTTGTTCCATATGAAATTTAAAGTAGTTTTTTCCAATTCTGTGAAAAAAGTCAATGGTAGCCTGATGGGGATAGCATTGAATCTATAAATTACTTTGTGCAGTATGGCCATTTTCAGGATATTGATTCTTCTTATCCATGAGCATGGCATGCTTTTCCATTTGTTTGTGTCTTCTCTTATTTCCTTGAGCAGTGGTTTGCAGTTCTCCTTGAAGAGGTCCTTCACATCCCTTGTAAGTTGTATTCCTAGGTATTTTATTCCCTTTAATGTACCAATAAATGCACAATGGAGGACCCAGAAAGACCAGAGATCTTTAGAGAAAGAGGCAGAAATAAATATAAGAAGAAGTAATGCAAGCTAAAGTTTTAAATCAATTGAAAAACATGGATCTTCAGGCCCAAGAAGCTCACAATAGGTTAAACACAAAGTGATCCACATGTAGGCACATTATCGCCAAACTGACGAATCCAAGACCAAAAAGAAAATATTGCAAGCAGCGGGAAAAACATGGACTCATCATGCACAGGGGAACAATAACACTATAATGGCCAGAAAAATGGGATGGTATCCAAAATGCTGGGGGTGGGGTCTGAACCTTCAAACAAGAATTCTATACCCAAAACAATTATTTTTTCAAAAATAAAGGCAAAATAAAGACATTCTCAGATAAGCAAAGACTCAAATATATTGATAATATAAAATAGAGTTGTTTCTCCATTAATATCGGAAGCAAGGCAAGTGTTTCTACTCTCGCCCATTATACCCAACATTGTACTGATGGTCCTAGCTATGGTAATAAATAAATAAGTGTGTACTGATTGAAAAATAAGACTAACAACATGATCATCATCATAAAAGTAGAAAATTCTCAGCAATCTACAAGTAAGCTATTTAAACTTCCATGTGAGTTTAACAAGGTCAAAGAGTACAAAGTCAATATACAAAGATCAATTGCATTTCTACATACTAGCACAGGGAATTAGAAATTGCAATGAGGCTGGGTGTGGTGGCTCACACCTGTAATCCCAGCACTTTGGGCAGCCAAGGCGGGTGCATCACGAGGTCAGAAGATCAAGACCATCCTGGCCAACATGGTGAAACCCTGTCTCTACTAAAAATACAAAAATTAGCTGGGCGTGGTGGCACGTGCCTGTAATCCAAGCTACTGGAGAGGCTGAGACAGCAGAATAGCTTGAACCAGGGAGTCAGAGGTTGCAGTGAGCCGAGATCGCACCACTGCACTCCAGCCTGGGCGATAGAGTAAGACTCTGTCTAAAAAAAAAGAAAAGAAAGAAAAAATTATTTTAAACTAACTTCATCAACTATGCTACTTAAATGTAAACACAAAAACACATGTATATATGCATGTATACATATACATGTAAACATACACACACATATATAGCACATGACATATGTATGTATTCATATGTAAACCTTTATGTTGAAACTACAAAATATTGGTAAATAAAGACATAAACAAATGAAGCAATAAACCATGTTGAATCGGAAGGCTCAATATTGTTGTCAGCAATCCAAAGGAACAACTACCAATATACACAAAATGAAAATTTAATCTCAGCAGCAGAATGCTAAATAAAAGAAATATCAAAGAGTACAAGTTATGACCCCACTCATATAAAATTATGGAAAAGGCAAAATTATAGCGACAGAGGTGTGACCAACAGTTACCCAGTTCTGGGATAAATGATAAGAGACTGCAAAGTACTACATGGAAATTGTCTGGGTGTGAAAATATCCATACTGAGATTGTGGTGGTGGTTACATGGCAGTACAATCAGTGAAAATTCATCAAATGTGTACTCTTTGCATGGCTGAATTTTACTGTATGTAAATAAAGCTGCCAGAATTAATGCTCCAAATATATTTACAAAAGTATGCTGAGTTATTTGAATACAGATATTCAGTATTATTTATAGTAAAATTTTGAAGAAAATCTGTCAATCAATAGGAAATTGTTTAAATTTAATATGTTGTATTCTTGCAATGGAATACCATGCAAATATTTTAAAGAGTAAGGAATATAGCTTTGTATGTGTTCATATTGGAAAAACATCTTATATATATTTTTTCTTTTTTTCTTTTTTTTTGTTTTTTTGAGACGGAATCTTGCTCTGTCACCAGGCTGGAGTGCAGTGGCATGATCTCGGTGCACTGCAACCTCTACCTCCAGGGTTCAAGCAATTCTCCCGCCTCAGCCTCCCAAGTAGCTGGGACTACAGGCACACACCACCGCACTCAGCTAATTTTTGTATTTTTAGTAGAGACAGGGTTTCATCATGTTGGTAAGGAAGGTCTCGATCTCTTGACCTCATGGTCCACCCTCCTCGGCCTCCCAAAGTGCTAGGATTACAAATGTGAGCCACCATGCCCAGCCAAAAAGAAGAATATCACACAGAGGAATATTACTAATAAGATTGTACAAGTCTTTAGATATATTTATATCTGCTCAGATGTCTACAAAAAAACTCATCTGTTTTTGCTCTCATACTTGTTTCTCTTCTAGATTTTGCCATTCCAGTTAATGTTACCACTCCTTGCCTGATTACTTATTGTCTTTGTTTTGTGCAAAGTAAAAGTCATTGACTGGTTAAACACATTAACTTTTCCCCTGGGTCAAGGAATTACGTGGTAGCAAAAATAGATTCGTATTTTAGAGACAAGTCCTAGTCTAGGCCTCATATTAAAATTTTTTATTACCTTAACAAATCAATTAATCTCTCTTGATTTTAGAATTTTTTATATACGTTATAGAAAATGAATTTAACAATTTTTTTTTACATTCTCTCTCTGCTTATCCAGGAGGTGTCAGCAGAAAGGAAAGTAATATTCTATGTTTGCATACCTTTTGTGCTGTAAAGATGAAGCAATTTTTTTACATTTTAACTTCCTAGGATAACATTAAATAGCAAGTTTCTGTGTCACTGAAAATGTATTCTTTGTATTACATCTTACCTACCTCTTGAAATATGTCATTCTTCTAAGTTAATCAGACAATTGTGTTACACTTTTTTAGGGAGGCTGATTTCTGGATAAGAAGCTGATTTTGTATTTTATTGCTTGTTACTCTTTGTCCTTAAATAACCGGGCACAGTGGCTCACACCTGTAATCCCAACACTGGGAGGCTGAGGCAGGAGTTTGAGACCAGCCCGGCTAACCTGGTGAAACCCCACCTCTACAAAAAATACAAAAAATACCTTGTCATTGTTGTACCCACCTGTAGTCCCAGCTACTCAGGAGGCTAAGGTGGGAGAGGGAGAATTGCTTGAGCCTTAGTGGAAGAGGTTGCAGTGAGCCGAGATCAAGCTACTATACTGCAACCTGGGAGACAGAGGAAGACTTCATCTCAACAAACACAAACACACACACACACACGCACATTTATCTGTGTATACATGTATGTGTATACATGTATACCAACCCATAAATGCACACATCCACACAGATTTATACACACAGTACACACACATACATATATGTATGTATTTATTTAATACATGGTGTTACTATTAAGAGAAATAGTATCATTGCATAAATCAAATTTACTGAATTTAGAATCAATAAGTCTGAGAATAATTCATGATTTTTCTATTATGATAGAGAAGTAATTCATTGTTTTCTCAACTGTAAATTGAATAAAGTAATGCTTGTTCTGTCCACTATACAGGGACATTTTAAGCATTAAAACCAAAATGAAGCAGTTGGAAAACTGTGAAAATATGCAAACTACTGTAGGAGTCATATTATTTCTGCTGTTCCCATGCAGCCCTTGGGGCATATGTTGCATAAAAATAGCTAGGCACGAAATATCCATTGGCTTTGGTCCAACATTTTACTCACAATGTATTTTCTCATTATGAATTTACTCAGACAAAAGCATGACATAATTATTTTAAATAATTAGAACTACAGGATGACGCATACCATACCAAATTCTGGAAATATTGAGGGGCAATGAGTATAGGCATGGTTGTGTTCAAGTGTGAGAAAAGTAAATTTTGGTGGAAAGAGTCTATGAAGTAGCCAGGAGAGGTGGAGGGCAAAGTTGGAATTTATCAAAGAGGAAAATGACATATTAATGCCTTTTCAGAAAACTGCTGGACAGTGTTAACCTGGGAAGATAGAAGTAACAACACAGAAATTAGACCTCAAGGTAGTGAAAGGGGATCTGGTTTTGAAGAAATTAATGCATTAAGGTAAATTTATAAAGTCAGCTGAAGGATTTCAGGAAAATTTAAATACAAACATGAGTTCACACATAAAAATTACAGGAAAAATGGGTAGTGCTAACATGATTAAGAAACATCACCCAAAGAAACAGAGCTAACCCAACAGACAAAAACGTACTTCAGAACTATGATCAATGAAATTTTTTTTAATAATGATGGCTTTAATTTTTTTATTATACTTTAAGTTCTGGGTTACATGTGCAGAAGGTGCAGTTTTGTTACATAGGTATACACATACCATGGAGGTTTGCTGCACCCATCAACCTGTTACCCACATTAGGTATTTCTCCTAATGTTGTCTCTCCCCCCAGCCCCCCACCCTCCAACAGGCCCCTGGAGAGGGTGTGGAAAAATAGGAATGCTTTTACACTGTTGGTGGGAGTGTAAATTAGTGCAACCATTGTGGAAGACAGTGTGGCAATTCCTCAAGGATCTAGAACTAGAAATACCATTTGACCCAGCCATCCCATTACTGGGTATATACCCAAAGGATTATAAATCATGCTGCTATAAAGGCACATGCACACGTATGTTTATTGCAGCACTATTCACAATAGCAAAGACTTGGAACCAACCCAAATGTCCATCAATGATAGAGTGGATAAAGAAAATGTGGCATATATACACCATGGAATATTATGCAGCCATAAAAAAGGATGAGTCCATGTCTTTTGCAGGGACATGGATGAGGCTGGAAACCACCAGTATCAGCAAACTATCACAAGATCAGAAAACCAAACACTGCATGTCCTCACTCATAAATGGGAGTTGAACAATGAGAACACATAGACACAGGGAGGGGAATGAAATTCTTTGAAATATAATTGAGATTATTTCATTCATGATACAAGAATTTTGGTGAGTACACAGAAATGCTGACTGGAAATCTTGCAAATAAAAAACATAAAAATGAAATCTCAAAAAATCTGAATAGTGATCTGAGGCAGAAAAAAAAAGATAGAAAAGAGAGAGAAAATAGCTCAAGAAACAATAAGATTGACAGGACTCAGTCTCTAGATGAATTTAATACAGGCTTTGCAAATAATAGAAATCACATTGTCTTATATCTTTAAATAGTAACACACAGACACACACACGCACACACACACACACACACACACACACACACATGATGTCTGTGTTGGAAGCTCCTTTATATAAGTTTGAAGAAAATAATTTCATTAATCATGTAGTGTAAAGCTCAGAGTGAAAGTAGTACTTACATCACCAGCTCTTCTTTAAAATGAAACAACTGGTAGAAAGTGACCGAAATCCAGAGGCTAAAATTTTTATTCCCTTAGAAACTAACTGGAATTTTTAGATTTTGCATGTTCACATCATTTTAAAGTTTAGGGTTAGGTAAGAAAGTAAATTAATACCTACTATTCAATAAAATAATGTATTATACCACATTGTCTAAATCAGTGCTTTTACTTTATAATATTGTGTTTTTCATGCTGACATTTCTGGTTAAAAAATTATGAGTGAAGGTAGCTGGCTGATTTGGAGCCCACCTAGAATATACATGA